>NC_000009.12:39100909-39252424 GCF_000001405.40 Homo sapiens
CCTCCTCCCAGAGATTCCAATTCGGTGGGCCTAAGGTGGGGGCCCCAAATCTGAACTATCAATCAGCTTTGTGGGTGATTCTGAAGCCAGTGATTCATCCACCGCAATGAATGCTGATTCTAGGTGAATTTTACGCTAATTGTGTTTCTAGGCATTCCCTTAAATAATCTCCAAGATTACAAGTGAGAAAATCAAGTTCTTGGTTTGACCCCTCCGTGTAGTCCTCCTTTCCAGTAGTTTGATGGTTTCATGTCCTTTGAAAAAGCCTCACTGCACCTTAATAGAAGAGCTAACCACGCCTGAAGCTAGGTTTTAGGAAGTCATGGTATAACACCCCATCCACATCCACATACATACGTGGGTTCACGTGTAGCATTTAGTACCTGGAAGTTGTATCTACCCTTCCCTGTAAATTAGGTTGGATGATAATTTGTGATTTAGTCCAGTTTTAATTAGATTGCATCCTTATTCACTTTAAAACACTTAAGAAATGAACAAGTGAGAGCTTTAATCTGTGTAGCTCCTAAGTTAGAATAGTTTCAAAAGCAATATGGAAAAATAAACAACAGTGATAAAACAGTAAGTAAGCAAACTAAAGGAAAGACTTCCAGAGCTATCACCTTTAAATAAATGGAGTGCAAGAACAGATGAGCCAGACCAGGTTATAAACAAGGAGCCTGTGATGAGAGAGCCCCAGAAGTGAGAACAGCAGCGAGGAAAACCGGGAGTGGGCTCCTGGAAGCCTGGCCGCGGGGGAGGTGCGCAGTGCTGCTTCCAATCAGCGGGTATCCTGCGATCTGGTTTTGAGTGGACCCTGGAGGACTTCTGTCCCAATTACAAGCTCTCTAACTCCACCGAGAAGTGAAACTGAAGGAATGGATAAAAATGTCTAATGATCTCACTAATAGTGTTGATAAAATATAGCTGTCACATATGCCAATCCTCTGCAATGTGAATGGTTCAAGTTTGGGGGTCGGCTATCCTGGGATCCCTCTCATTAGCTGGTTACTCCACTTCTCTGAGGCTTGGCTATCTCATCTGTAAACAGATGACAATACCTAAACATTGATACCTAAACACTGAGATACTGCAGGGCCCGGTGGCTCGCGCCTGTAATCCCAGCACTTTGAGAGGCTGAGGTGGGTGGATCATCAGGTCAAGAGATCACGACCATCCTGGCCAACATGGTAAAACCGTGTCTCTATGAAAAATACAAAAATTAGCCAGGCGTGGTGGCACCTGCGCCTGTAATCCCAGCTACTCAGGAGGCTGAGGCAGGAGAATCGCTTGAACCCGGCAGGTGGAGGTTTCAGTGGGCTGAGATTGCACCACTGCACTCCAGCCTGGGCGACACAGTGAGACTCTGTCTGAAAACAAAAACAAAAACAAAAACAAACAAACAAAAAAAGAAATGTCAAATAAGAAGCACACAGCAAGCTCCTGGAACCTACCAGGTTATCAGCAAATAGTACCAATAAGCAGTAGTTGTTGTTGGCAACTGTTGCTCTCAGTACATCACAGTTCTTATTTTCTTTTGGTCCCTCTCTGGACTCACACTAAATTCAGTTATAAACCACCAGCACTCACCAATGAAGAGCTGGCTGTTGAGCTGTAAACGAACGTGCCCATCAGCAGGGGCAGGCTGCATCTTCTGAGGAAGCTGATCAACTTGAAGAGACGCTCCTTTAACATTTCTCTCTGCCCTCACGTGGTGCCACTGATTGTCATTAAAGGGAGTGGGTGACTGCACCGTGACCTCACAAGGTCCATTCCCCACATCGAAGGAAAAGGTCACTTCTGTGGGAGCTAGAAATATTAGATATGAATATTGCTCAAGCAAATTCACAGAAAATTGAGTCTTGTGCAGACACAGGAAAACATGAAGGCACGCTCAGGATGGAAGGAGATAATGACGGCGATGCAGAAAAACGGGACTGTGAGTTGGGGTGGGGGCAGAATAAATCTGTATCCTGGAGGAAAACAGAACGGATTTTAACATATTTATCCTCAGAGTTCACAATTCAACCTTGTTAAGTCCTAAATAGTAGAGATATGTACCCATAGCTGGACTACCCATAGCTATGTACCTATAGCTAGAATACCAAATAGTATTTGTTTTTGAGGTTTCAGTAATTTTATTTACAAACGGCTCAAAGTCTCATCTAATTCTATAAACACTGAATGTAAATTTTGACAGTCATAAATTAAGCTTTGGGTACATAAAAAACAATATGTCTGGTCAAATATTTTTGGAATTCAGTAAACAATGTGATGAGTTTGGTTTAAAGCTCTGGCTCTGCTGTTCTGTACTCTAGGGAAGGCATGACATTTTAATGGATTATTACGTGCTTCATGCTTCATTGTTTTATTTTCTCTTAAAAATGATTACTGGCTGGGTGTGGCAGTTCACACCTGTAATCCCAGCACTTTGGGAACCCGAGGCAGGCAGATCACTTGAGGCCAGGAGTTGAAGACCAGCCTGGTCAACATGGGAAAACCCCACCTCTACCAAAAATACAAAAATTAGCTGGGCACGGTGGTGCCTGCCTATAGTCCCAGCTACTCAGGAGACTGAGGCAGGAGAATTGCTTGAACCCAGGAGGCTGAGGTTGCAGTGAGCCAAGATAATGCCACTGCACTCCAGCATGAGTGACACAGCAAAATCCTCTCTCCCTCTCTCAAAAAAAAAAAAATTACCTAAAATCATAGAAGTTTAGTATTTTATAATGAAATAGAATCACAAAATAAGAATGAAATACTAACATTTTGTTGAGTTAAAGCTTTTATTGCTAAATAATGGGTACCCTGTGACTTGTCCAGAGTGGCGAGCTTACCACGCAGCTCAATCCTGATGAAATCTGTGATCCCCAGGTTCTCCATAAACACCCCGGAGGAAACTGTGGTCTTAAAAAAGAAGCACACGTCAGCAGTGAGTTCTCCGTGGAAAGCAGGGAAATGAAGGTATGAAGTCTCAGTGTTGAAGGAAGCTGAATTCCAGAATGACTCTGTTTACAATAGAGAAAACGACAAAAGGAAAAAAAGTCATGAAACAAAAATAACAGCTACATTTGATACTTACAGGATTATGACTGCTAAATACATTAATAGAATCTATATGAGCTTTCACTGGGGGTTCTGAGCATCCATGTCATATACTGATGACATCAAGAGCTAAATGGTGATTATGGTGAGGATTAGAATTCTGTGTTCAGAGAAGGCCAAACAAAAGCGAAGCAAAAGCAATGAGACCAGTCAGGGGATCGCGCAGCAACACAGTAGGGACAGGGTCAAGTTCAGAATCACCTCAAAGGTACGACCAACAGAACTTACTGAAGAACTCGGTAAGATGTGAGAAGAAGGGTGGAGTCTGAGGTGACTTTGGGGTTTTTGGTCTAACTGGGAGGGGAAATAATTCTAAAGAGGCAGGTTCGAGCAGCAGCTCAGTTTGGGACATGTTTCATTTGAGATATCTATTAGGCATCCAAGTGGAGATTTGAAGGAGGTAGTTGGATAAATGACTCCAGAAGCCAGAACACAGACTCTTGCTTTCCTTCCTGCACATACACATACACACACACACACACACACACACACACACACACACACACACACTGTCTTAATTCCTTTCATGGCAAGAACAATCAAGAACAAGAAGAAGCTTATTTGTTCCCTTCTGTCCAAAACCCATCACAGGACTGCACATCACATGTATTCCTCAGGCCTCTTTAGTGTCCTTCATTCTGGTACAGTGTGTGAGTCTTTTCTTATCTTTTGTGTACTTTTGACTTTTTGGTATTTTTCAGTTGACTTGCAGAATGTTCCTCAACTTGGATTTGTCTGACATACTCATGATTGGATTCATGTTGTGCATTTTTGTCAAAAATACCACAGAAGGGCTGCTGTGTTCTCCTCAGTGTGTCGCAGCAGCAGGCAGCAATGCTGATCAGCCCATCACTGGTCCTGTTAGTTTCAACTGCTTTGTAAAGTGGCATTTGTCCACTTTCTCCAACATGAAGTTATTATTTTTCTCTTTGTAATTCATGTATTTTTGACACTTTAAGGTTACAGAAACACAACTTTACCCAGTTAAAAATTTCTTCATCCAATGGTTTTACAATATATTGATGGCTCCTGATTGAATTTTTATTCTGATGGCTGCCAGTGGTGATCTTCTAAGCTCTGTCATTCCTTCCACATTAATTGGTTGACATGCCTCCGTCAGAAATAGCTTTTCTCGGCTAGGTGCAGTGGCTCACGCCTGTAACCCCAGCACTTTGGGAGGCCAAGGCGGGCGGATCATGAAGTCAGGAGATCCAGACCATCCTGGCTAACATGGTGAAACCCCGTCTCTACTAAAAATACAAAAAATTAGCCAGGCATGGTGGTGGGTGCCTGTAGTCCCAGCTACTCGGGAGGCTGAGGCAGGAGAATGGAGTGAACCCGGGAGGCGGAGCTTGCAGTGAGGTGAGATCATGCCACTGCACTCCAGCCTGGGTGACAGAGCAACTCTCCATCTCAAAAACAAACAAACAAACAAACAAACCAAGAAATAGCTTTTCTCTTGATCTTTTACTAATTTATTTGTGTATTTATCCATTGGTTTATTCACATCACTCTTGAATTTGTATTCTATTCAATGGTTTATACTCTATAACTTATTTTGATGCTTAAGTTGTCTCAAATGTGGCAGCTCCTTTAAGCTGACACCCATGCCTTTTTCAGCTTTTTCTTTCCCCTTTGTCATAACAAAATGATCCAGGCTCATCTTACATTTTCTCTGCCACATTTCTGGAATCAGCCATTTCTTCAAGGAGTCGTGGTTTCTTTTTTAGCAGAGAATGATAGAAAATGGTGTTTAGAAGCCGAGATCTGCAGGCTATTTACTAGGGTGTCATTGCTTCTAGCCCTCTCAGTAGTCAGCTAGGAAATATGTGTATTTGTATCTCTCTCTCTCTCTCTCACACACACAGTCTCTCTCTTCTATGTGTATTCTACAGTTATCTATTATGTATATTAAAATCCATGAGTTCATGTGGATACCTCCGTTTTTAACCCAGCACCACAGGGTTCATTACAGTCTTCCTCCTTCCCACATGTATAACTCTTTCCTCAGTGAGAAGGTCACTCCTACTCTCCTCACTGTATTTACATATTTGCTCATTCCCCAGTGTGGAACCAAGCTTCTAACCCAGTGGTCATTCCTTGACCCTATCCCTGCAGATCCCCTAGTCCCAGCTGCCCCAAAAGAAGGGAAAAGAATCAATAAGTGTTATGTTAAAGAAAACAGAGATGAAGATAAGGAAAGGAAAAGAGAAAGGAAGAGGAATCTACAAGTTTTACAGAAGAGAATATTTTATTTTTCTTTCTTTCTTCATTAATCAATTTATTTATTTATTTTAGAGATGAGGTCTCACTTTGTCACCCAGGCTGGAGTGCAGTGGCATGATCATAGTTCACTGCCACCTCACATTCCTGGGCTCAAGAGATCATCTCACCTAAGCCTTCCTAGTTGCTAGGACTACAGGCCACCATGCCCAGCTAATTTTTAGTTTTTTTGTAAGAGACGGGGTCTTACCATCTTGTCCGGGCTTGTGTTGAACTCCTAGGCTCAAGCCATCCTCCCATCTCAGTCTCCCAAAAAGAGAAGGGAATATTTCAAATATCACACTTTCTCTTCTCCATACTTTCAGAAGTCTTGCTGAAAGTAGGATATAAACTGAAGGTGAATGACATATCCTGAAGAGTCTCACAAATACAGCCACGTTTGGAGAGAAATGAAGGGCTGAGGTAAATTTCCAGAGAGAAAATAATCTAGAAAATGTTTTTGAGAAGTACAGAGTACCTAGAAACCAGTGTTTGATGTCAGAGTATCAATAGGCAGGGGAAAAAGCTACAAATTTCCAGGGGTTATTACTGAACTGTGGGAGGCATCTGAAGCCTGCAGATATACCCTCCATGCTTCAGTGTGATGCCTGGCACAGGACATTTAATAATTCTTGAAGATAAAACGGCACAGAGAATGGCCAGTAAATCAGATACAATTCAACAGATCCCTCCCTTGAGCTCTTAGATTATGGGAAAAAAAATTGATAGGATGACCAACTCTAGTCCTGCTATTGCAGTTCAGAAGGGACAAGAAGTATGTGTCTGATTGTGAAGAGATGAATGTCGAGAAGAATTCAACTCCATTCCATATAAATGAATTAAATGTCTGGACAGACCTGCCAGACAGACCTGTGGTGTAGACTTACACTACAAGTATAAACAATGTTTCAAAAAGCGCTGAAACAGTGCAAACATACTGAGAAAGAAAAAGAAAAAAAGAAGACAGGAAAGAAAGAAAGAAAAAGAAAGAAAGAAAAGAAAGAGAGAGAAAGAAAGAAGAGAGGGAGGGAGGGAGTGGGGAAGGAAGGAAGGAAGGAAGGAGTATAAAAGCCAGACTGAATGGGAGGGAGGAAGGGAGGGAGAGAAAGAGGGAGGGAGGGAGGGAGGAAGGAAGGAAGGAGCCATCTGAATGGGATGGAGGAAGGAAATTAAGAGAGAACACAAGGAAAGAAAAATTTCATAAGAGTTTTACACTATGGGAATAATATAAAAACCAATTCAGTAAAATAAGAGCTAAAATATGAGATAAACAGAAAAGATGATTTTTAAGGAAAAAAAATCAAAGACCCAAACAAAATCACAGAGGTAACAGATAAATCGGAAATATCTGGAAATGGAGAACACAGCTGATAACAAATTACTGACATTGGGAGAAGCTTAGAATAATCATATTGAATGCATAGGAGAAGGACAAAGAGATTAAAGCCATTGGAAGAAACAGAAAAAATGTATGGGGGGCAAAGGAAACAAGTCAACAGTCCCAGATGCAGAGAATCCAACAAATGAAACAAAGTATTCAAAGCATAATAAAAACCATTTTTTCTTAAAAGAGAACAGAATATTTCGGTCAAAATAAGCATATTTCATTTTAGAAAAAATTAACAGAATAATTAATGCCAAGGCATATTCTGGATAAGTTTTTGAAATTGAAGGATAACATATCTGTCAAGAGCTGTGAGGAGTCTGAGATTTCACCCTACTTGCAAGCTAACAATTTAGCTTGCCACAGATTAATGGATGCTGATAGAAAACACAAAATTTCCGGGTCAGAGTTAAAGAACTTTACTGCTCACAGCACAGCATGCAGCATGAGTGTCAGAATATTTGCATTGGTTCCCCCTATCTCCAAATTTCACAGGGCAACACAATCCATCAGCCCAGGTGGATGCTACACACACAGTGGGTAGGTCTGCATCTCAGATGAGGAGCCCCCAGACAAGGGTCCGGGACTCCTTCATCAAGCAGGAGACAAGCCGGTCCCCCCCCTCTCTGGGGAGTGAGTACGCATCGATAGTGATGTTGTGTTCTCTTTGAACTACTTAGCTGCCTACACGACTGGCTACAGAAACTGCTTGGTATTAGGGGATGGAGACGCCACGCCATCTGGCACACTCGGCAAGAATGTACAGAGAGGCTCAGGCTCCTTGGTGAACCACCTCTCTCAGAAGTAGCCTCCACACATTGAGGTAGAGCAGGAAATAAAAATACATTTAGTCTCAGACTTCTCCACGGCAATGTATGATGCTAGTGGGTAAGAAACACTATTAAAATTTTTCTCAGGGAAAGAAGATTTTTACTAGCTTAGTTGTGGTTCCCGTGCTACGCAGTAGGTAGATCCTCTAAGAACCCTGGGCTTATAGTGCCACTGAGGTGGAGGAGCGAGGACTTGACCATGAAAGCCACCCATGAACGAAAATGCTGCAGGAAAGAGATTAATACACATTCGGTGCCATGTAATGTAAAACAGAATGTACAGAGGTCAGAAAATAGAGAGTGTCCAATAATTTCCTACCACTATAGTTGTCTGAAGAGTATAAGGGCAATGAATAAATATCCCTTAGAATTCAGAAAATAGTTCATCTCATGATTGTTCTGGAAAAAATACAATCAATTGATAATAAATCCAGCCAAGCAAGTAATAAGTTAAAACAAAGATGATTCATTTTCTATAAACTAATGCTTCAGTAAGGAAACACAGATCTTCAGTACTGACTGTGCCTTTATGGTATGTGTGTTTTCCTGATATTCGCCCCAGTCCTAGTACTGCCACTATTCTCTTTCTGGCAAGAACAAGGGCATTTGTCTACTCTTTTATAACCAAAAAAAGTTATTATGAAAATAAAGCTTTTTCTTGACACTACTTACGATCTCCGCGGCAGAGCAGTGGCCCCAGTGTATAAGCTGCTTCGGAATGTGGTCGGCCTGCGTCTGTCATCACAATCTGAGTGACTGGCAGGTGCTCCTTTTGGGAAAGGACTATTGTGTCACTAGTCCTAAAGAACAACAACCGAAACCATTAAAATTATTCTGATTAACATACGGGCAAAATTAACTCTGATCTCTTATCTCAATTTGAAACCAACATCATAGAGCTTAACAGAATACTTAACATTTTCAATATTTTGAGAGCACAGAGACTACCATGAATCTAAATCAGGGATGGGCAAACATTTTGTGTAAAGGACCATACAGCAAGCTATCTTAGCTCAGCAGGCCATGCAGCTTCTCACAGCAACTACTCAACTCTGCCACCAAAGTGTGAAAGCAGCCACAGACACAGGCATGGCTGGGTTGCAATAAAAATTTATGGATATGAAATCTGAATTTCATACAAGTTTTATAAGACATGAAATATTCTTTTTATTTTTCAACCTTTTAAAAATGTAAAGAAAACATTCTTAGCTCACTGCCATGCAAAAATAGACTAGTGGTCTGGATTTCACCCAAAGCAAGAGGTTATCAACTCCTGACCCGTTTGCCAATTCCTGATCTAAATGATTACAGAGAAGGGGAAAAATCAAGAAGGTAACTTCCCTTCTAAAATTGTCTTAGAATAATATCTAAGTGATTATTCATTACAAATAAAAATAGTAACACTGGATTTAGATATTCATTTTGCAGAATATTAATTTATCATTATTTTTTAAAGTCCTTTTATGATTACTGGGTATTTCTTTCCTTGTTAACTTTGTAAATGCAAAATGAATCCCACAGATTCAAAACCAAATACATACTACACCCTTATAAGTAATACATAGACTAATGAGTGTGAAAGTGGTCTGTGAAACACTGCTCCCAGTAGTTCAGGCAACAAACACAGGCCGGGCACAGTGGCTCATGCCTGTAATCCCAACACTTTAGGAGACTGGGGTGGGCAGATTGCTTGAGCTCTGGAGTTCGAAACCAGCCTGGGCAACATAGTGAGGCCCCGTCTCTACAAAAAATACAAAAATTAGCTGGGTGTGATGGTGCACACCTGTAGTCCCAGCTACATGGGAGGCTGAGGTGGGAGGATCCCTTGAGCCTGGGAGGTAGAGGCTGTAGTGAGCCATGTGTGCGCCACTGCACTCCAGCCTGGGTGGCAAAGTGAGACCTTGTCTCAAAAAATACAAAAAACAAACAAAAAACCCCACACACTCAGCGCTCACCTTTTGTCAAACAGACATTGTCCTGGGAATTGAGGACACAGAGTAAAAAATATATTTTAGTCTCTGCCTTCTGAAAGCACACAGCCTATTGAATACCATGAGTATTAATTATGTGACTGGGAAAATAAATGCACACGTCTGGGTCCAATACAAAGAGACCTGGAGGATCCCCTAGGGGAACCTGGGGTCCTGGTCTTAGCTATGCCACTAATTTTGTCTCTGGCCAAAATAAAGGCATTTGTCTACTCTGCTGCAAAAGTATTTTATTATATATGTGTATGTAACTGTATATGTAATAAATATTTGGCCAATAATAAATATTGCATATATGCATATATAACAAAATGCTTATATTTATATACTTTTGGTTATATTTTATCACATATATGTCTCAACTGCATGTACATTCTGATTTACAGACAAAACACTCTTAGTCCAGTTATGGTTAGAAACTCCACAGTATCTAGTAAATACTGTATTTTTTAAATTGCCCAGTTCTCAAACCTTCTTTTGTATGCATTTGTGGCAAAAGATCACAATAATTGATATTTCATCATTGCAACACTTTTGTATTTTCAAAATAAGGCTTTCTGAATTAAAAAAAATTAAATTGGCATGTCAGAGTTGTACATATACTGGGGGCACATGTGCTATTTTGATACTAGAATACAATGCATAATGATCAAATCAGGATAACTGGGATATCCATCACTTTGAGCAGTTATCCTCTGTGGTGGGAACATTACAATTCTCTTCTGGCTATTTTGAAATATCCAATAAATTACTGTTAACTATAATTTCTCTAGTTCTATCAAATACTAGAATTTCTTTTACTTAACTCGACTTTTGTACCCATTAATCAACTTCTTTTATAAAAGACTTTAGGTATCAAACTTTCAAATTGGAAAATATAAAACTAAAATAAAGTGGCTATATTATTTAAGATTATTCCCTGAAAAAATACACTTAATGGTAAAGAAAGCTTATTTCTAAAATTCAGACTAAAACCCTGTTGCTTTACCTAGTTAAGATTCTGTTATTCATTTTTATGCAAAGAACAGAATATGGATTATCTAAAGGCATCACCATTCAGCTTTAGAGTGGATTGATGGTAGACAAGCTAGAAATATGTCTCCTGCTGAATGAGGTAGGTCTAGGAAATTTTTTATTAATGTGGTGGTAGCCATTAAAAATTACCATTTCAACTTCTGTGATCATCATTTTAGCAAGATAGTCTAGTAGAGAAAATGCAATTTAATTATTTATGGAGGATGCTTGTATTTTAAAAGATCTATTTCACGGGAGCTCCAAGTTTCATTCCATTTTCAATACTGACTGTGCAAAATATTGAGAATGTGTAAATGAAATCCACATTTCAGTTTAATTAGGGCAGATACTATAATAAAGTCTTGTTTTTTCAGTTGTTTTGGAAAGTCTGGTGTTTTCATTCTGAGCATAAAGATAGCCAGTGTTTTTCACCAGTTTCTTATTGTTACAGGCAGATTCCCAACCTTTGGAGATCAAAATAGAATACTCAGGATTTGTCATAGTTATCAGACTTCCTCAAAACTTCCTAATTAATAGGGACATCTCATTTTTCTTTTCTATTATTTTCTAAAGCTTATACTATAGTCTACACTTGGAAATAGTGCTTTCATAGGTACCATAATCTCTTGCAGCAGTATTAAAAATTCAGTAAGAGAACTTTCAAAGACTTTTTGCTTTTATTTTATATTTTATTAAAATTTTTATTTATTAGAAATTCCTACGGTTCTGGAAATTGTACTTTCCTAGGAAGTGTGAAAACTTCTAAAAGCTACTACTTATTATTTGCCAGGGAACTTTATTTAAGGCAAAGTAGGGCCATAAGTTTGGGAGGTTGCAAAGAAAGCTAAAAGGGAGAAATGTTAAGTCAACTTTTTAACTTTTTTTTTTTCTTTGAGACAGAGTCTCACTCTTGTCGCCCAGGTTGGAGTGCAATGGTGTGATCTCTGCTCACTGCAACCTCCACCCCCAGGATTCAAGCAATTCTCCTGCCTCAGCCTCCAGAGTAGCTGGGATTACAGGCGTGCGCCACTATGCTCAGCTAATTTTTGTATTTTTAGTATAGACGGGGTTTCACCATGTTGGTCAGGCTGGTCTCGAACTCCTGACTTCATGATCCGCCCGCCTTGGCCTCCCAAAGTGCTGGGATAACAGGTGTGAGCCACCGCGCCCAGCCCAACTGTTAATGATTATTTTGGGGGAGTAGGTCAGCAATAATAAAATCATTATGATCCACATCTAACACACTTAAAAAATTTCTAGATTCTCAGTTTCTGTTTAATTGCCTATCTTCTGGCCAATTCAACCTGCATTAATTACTACAGCAATACAGTATGTCTTGACAGCTAACAGAACTAGTTTCTTCACTTTATTTTTCATCTTAAAAATTATCTTGCTTATCCTTTCATCCTTAATTTCCATATGAATTTTAAAACCAGGTTGCTGCAATCCACACAAGTAAAACCACTTGGCATTTTTTTGAATTTTGTTAAAATTACAGACTAATTTGATGAGAATGTCAACTTTAAAAGAGGGTATCTCAACAGCAGCGTTACTGATATTTTGGGCTAATTTTTTTTTGTTATGGGGGGGCTGTCCTGTGCACTGTAGGATGCTTAGCAGCACCCTGATTTCTAATTAATAGACACTAATATAAACAACCTTCCTCTCTGTGTGATGACAAAAATGTCTTCAGACAATGCCAAATGTCCCAAGAGTCGAAATCACCCCCGATTGAGAACTACTGCTTTAAGATACTGAGTCATACTATCCACGACAGTAGTGAGTCAATCCATTTATTTGGCTGTCCTTAATTCTCTTGAATAAGTTTTGTAATTTTGTAATTTTTTCCATAAAAGTACTGCAGTTATTCCACAGAACTTTACATTTTTGTTAATATTGCAAATAAAATTTTTCTAGGTGTGTAATGGTAATTATTTTAAGATTTTATAGAAATTCAAGTAATTCCTCAATACTGACTGACCATAAATTCAGCAAACTTACTGAACTCTCATTTTTCCTGATATTTCTTTATATTATTTTGGATTTTCTATGTAGGCAATCATATTATCTACAATATCTGCCAGGTTTGTTTCTTTTCCAAACTTTTTATCACTTACATCTATTTTATTTCCTCTTGTGTCTTTAACTGACACACGCATGAACTTTTAAAAATTATATATTCATTATTGATTACAGTTAAGAATATAGTTTCCATCATGACAATTCCATAAAATTTGTTAAGATTCCATCCATTTACAAAATTTTTTATACTTATTCAACAATAATGTATAATACATTCTATAAAGAAATAATTTTTCCTTACTAAACGATATATGGCTGCTATATCAAGTTTGTTAATTATAATATTAAAATATTCTTACCTGCTTCACTTACTCATTCCCAAAAATGTTATGTTAATTATTCCACTGTTTTGGGTGTCAATTTGCCTTTGCATATTTGTTAATTCTCTCTCTCTCTATATATACACACACACATATATATACACACACACATATATATACACACATATATATACACACATATATACACACACACACACACACACATATATATATATACACACACACATACTTTTTTTTTTTTTTTTTTTGAGACAGAGTCTTGGTCTGTCGCCCAGGCTGGAGTGCAGTGGTGTGATCTTGGCTCACTGTAAGCTCTGCCTTCCAGCTTCACGCCATTCTCCTGCCTCAGCCTCCCGAGTAGCTGGGACTACAGGCGCCCACCACCATGCCTGGCTAATATTTTTTGTATTTTTAGTAGAGACGGGGTTTCACCTGTGTTAGCCAGGATGGTCTCGATCTTCTGACCTCGTGATCTGCCCGCCTCAGCCTCCCAAAGTGCTGGGATTACAGGCGTGAGCCATGGCGCCCTGCCACTTCTTTATATATTTTAAACAATCTGATGATACACACAAGTGTAGTGAGATCTTTCTAGTGAGTTTATCTCAGCATTAGATAGAGTTCAAGTTTATCCCTAACAATGCTTTTCATCTTTGTCTGACATAATACAGCTGTATCTGCTTTCTTTTGATTTGTATTTACTCGGTAAATATTTTCTATTCTTTTAGTTTCAACTTCACTGAGTGCTTATATTTTATCTTTTGTAAATAAGCTATAGCTTCTTTAAAAATCCAATATGATAAAATCTAATGTCTGGTTTTTAAATGAACAGAGTTTACTCATATTTATTATGATTATTTGTACACTTGTATGCATTTAAACCATCTTATTTTATGCTTTTTTTTGTGGTTACTTTTAAAGACTCTAAGATAATCACACAAAAGTCCTATTTAAATTCTTAAGTAAAATAATATTACAGTTACATGTGTCATCATTATATTAGCAAAACAACTTGTGGATTTTTGCAGACAGCTGAATTATATGTTATATGTATATTTTAGAGAATATATTGGTCTATTTGAACATAGTCCACTATACATTTATACACATATATTGACTTGCAGCATAGTTCAATATTTTAAATCATTATAGTGCCTTTTAAATATATTTGTTTTTATAATAAATCTTTGGCATGTTATAGTTATTTGATAGAATATTCTTACTGTGCCTGAGGAACTGTCTGATCATAAACTTTTTTTTAAGTAATATGCTTTAGACGAGTTGCTGATTACAGGGACAACTTACGGAAAAATGGCGATGGTTTATATTAACAATACTGCCTGCCCCATTAACGGACATATGCCTGAAGAGACTTAAAATAGCTTTCACTTTACTTTCATTCCCAAATACTATTTTTATTATAAACTTTCCACCAGGAAAACCTTACTAGGCACACCTCAGTAATAGAAAATAAGTAATAAAGACTAAGATTTATGTTCTTATGTCTACACCTTAATCTAAATTATTACAATTATAAATCTTTTCATTTCATGAGACTGGTAAATTCCATTTTTATAAACTGAAAAATCAATTTTATTTGAAAAATTAAAATAGAAATTGTAATTTCCCACCCCCCCACCCCCATACACACCCCCACATTTACAAAACAATCTACAAAAGTTGGGATAGGATTTCAGAATGCTTGTGGTCTTACTGTTGGATAGACCTGTCTACTGGAAGCTGCAAAGTAAATAAAATAAGGTTAAAAAGCAAATGACTCCACAATGCTCCCTTCTGAATGTAGGAGGGGAGTTAATTTTTAAAACCTGCTTCTCTCCTAAATTTTTTTCCAAATGAAAGCCCAGGGCTTCTGTCACACCAGTGCAGTCCTTGACGGTGCTGAAGTGACATGGCTAAGGGTATCAGAGGACCTGCACCCACCTCAGTTCCTCCCATTCCCCTCCTCAAACTCAGTTCATGGGAGGGTCACTCAATACAGGTGGCTCCAAGTGATACGTTCCTCTGGTTACTGCCCTAAGCATACGTGAAGTCTACAATAAAGTATGCACTTAATACTAACAGAAGGTTCTGTAACAAAAAAACAGTTGACCAGCCTGGCCAATAGTGAAACCCAGTCTCTACTAAAAATACAAAAATTAGCCGGGTGTGGCACTCGGCTGTAATCCCAGTTACTCGGGAGGCTGAGGCAGGAGAATCGCTTGAATCCGGGAGGCGCAGGTTGCAGTGAGCTGAGATCGCACCACTGCATTCCAGCCTGGGCGACAGAGAGAGACTCTGTCTCAAAACAAAAACAAAACAAAACGGTTAACATTCTTCGAACTAAGTTATAAAGCCACTAGCATATATGCCATTCTGGCTTTCTTGTAATAACCTGCCAATGCTCTCCTCTCTGACCTGTAGAGAATGGGGGTGGGGACAGACCAATGAGCTGGAGGTCTTCTGAACAGCCAGGAGCTGGAGGGCTGGAGCCCTCACAGGCAGGAGCCCCTTGTGGAATGGAGGAAATGAAAACCTCTAGGATTGTTAAAGATGTCCGTCAAAAGATTTGAAGGTCGCTGTTTGTCTCATTAGAGCCCAAAGCTAACACACATCATCACATTATCATACCAGACACTTTAAAATGTACATCATACAAAATATTGTACAAAACCATTTTAACTCATGGGAAATTACTTCAGACCTGAAACTTACTGGTGGTCAGATTTGAAACTATGGATCAGATCTGTTCCTGTTACTCACTGCACTAAAACTGCATTCATTTTTAAGTAAGAGAAAGTTGTATTAAGATTGCATATCAAAATATTCAAAAAGAGTGTCTCATAAATCTGTATGATCATTTAGTAATTTTGAACTTGAGGAAGATTAAAAATAATATCCATGTAAATGTATAGTATGTATTCTATAGAAAGCTCCAGTAGATTCAAGTGAGTTTTCCCAACTTCACAATATTTTTTAAAGTGATGCAAAGTAGACTTTTTATGCCAGATAAATAAGTGGACTACCATGCAGGCCAAACAACTCCATTTTTAGGAATCAAATTACTGCTTAGATTAGCTATTTTATGTCCAAATCAATTATACTGACACCTGGATTGACCATTACATTTTTTATTTATTAATTATTATTATTATTATTATTTTGAGGTGGAGTCTTGCTCTGTCGCCCAGGCTGGAGTGCAGTGGCGCGATCTCGGCTCACTGCAACCTCTACCTCCTGGGTTAAGCAATTCTCCTGTCTCACCCTCCTGAGCAGCTGGGACTACAGGCACACACAGCCACACCCGGCTAATTTTTGTATTTTCAGTGGATACGGGGTTTTGCCACATTGGCCAGGCTGGTCTCAACCTTCTGACCTCAGGTGATCCACCTGCCTTGGCCTCCCAAAGTGCTGTGATTACAGGCGTGAGCCACAGTGCCTGGCCTAAGTTTTTTTTTAAAGCACGTACTCTACATGATCTAGTTGTTTTATGACAATGCTTTTTAAGTTGCTGACATGAACCCAAAGGTTGAAAACATTTACATATTACAAATAAAAAAAAGAAAACCAATATGCATTTCAAGAGTAACCTCAAAAAGAACTTCTGAAAAAAAGGCATTGCAATCTACATGAGAAAATTGTTTCTGCTCAAAGGAAAGCTTACAAAATAATTTTCAAATTCCAGAAAGTCTATGTTAGTTGTTTCAAAGTATGGTCTACAGAACAGTTGGTGCTTGAAGCTTTGCTATTGCACTGAAGATTTCAATGAGTGTGGGAAATTGTTGCTTCTACAAAATAAACACAGTCCTTTTATGCAGGACCTCTCAGAGTTTCTTGTGTTAATGTTAATTTCTAAAAGAAAGATAGAATATGCAGCATTATATCCCAAATCAATTTAAGACAAAGATTTGGAGGAATTTGCTTTTTGAATTGCCACATGAATACTACGTTAATTAATTAACTAAACTTCGCAGAGAATGATATTTGATTTCCAGTGAGTGGAAAACTTAACAGCTGTTTCTCTTTTACGAAAAATAAAAAACACATTATATAGTATTCACAACGAACTAGTAAATCTTTGGTCATAAAATTTAATCCTTAGATTAACTGATCATATTTCATCAAAACTTGTATTTCAGCTTGCTTGAACATACTTTAGTTACCTTATTGTACCAGCTTGTCTGACATTTAATTAACTATGCATAATTAAAGAATAAAAACCACATTTTTGTGCAGGGAAATCATGTGGAAATCACCATTCATTCCGGCCAGCATCACAGTTGCAGTAATACTGAGAATCAATGCAGTTCCCCTCTAATCCACAAGTACACTTTTGAGCATCAGGCAGAGAACCTCCCCAGGAAGTGTGTGTTTCATTGGTTCTTCCAACCCACCAGCTCAGTGGGGTTCCATCTGAAAGACAAGTATAAGAAACATGACATCTACTTTGTCCCTCACTACCACCCTCCCCATATAGCTCCCTTTACTCCCAGGTGTAAAGTGTATGTGTGAGAGACAGAGAGAGAGAAAATGAAACTATACTTAAATACTTGTATTTTACCTCTGAAACGTTTATTTAAGCCTAACCAATGTTTTTCCCCCAATATTTCAATATCTAGGCTTAAATGATTCCATCTATTTTTCTTCTATTAGAAATCAGTCAGTTGCATGTGATACATACTTTCTATAGAAATAACATTCAAAAAAATTCACCATTAAAATAAATACCAGAGTAATTTGCACACTAAAGATAAAATCTATTTGAAATTATGAAATGTTCATTGAGAAAGTTTAATATTATACAAAGACATTGATTTATCTCATCCCATCTTTTTGCTAACTACCTGTATATTACACATTTGGAAAGATATGGTACTCTCTGTCAGTACTTACTAATTTTTGGAGGTATTTGTTTTTATTGCATTGGATGTCCTGACTCTTTATTTGGAGGTTAAGGAATGACATTGATAGGCTTTTCTCATCTCTGAGGTTAGAGATTTCTCATGCGAAGAAACAAAGTGCCCTGGGTCAACTACAGCTCTGACGAGTGCACCTCCTTCTCAGCACTGACAATGATTAAATGATAGAGTCAGACACTAACTCAGATCTATAGAACTGCATATTAGGACAAGGGATGCTGCCAGGGGTTGGGAGTGAAGATTGGGGTGATGGACTGACTGCACATCACAGTAAAGTTAGGATAATTTAAAAAGCAGGTGTCAGGCCACCTATCTTAAAAAAGGAAGGGGGTCAGGGGCCACAAGTTGCAGTCATCACAGATGAGGCCATGAGGAAAATGAAATTGGATTAACTCAACCAGTTTTTTAAAGATGCTTGATCATGTGGTGCTGTTTTTCAAATTTCAATAGGTTGTTACCATTGGAATATGAATTGAGATCTGGAACTTAGCTTCTACCTTACTGCTTATTACAACTCAATTATAACTCATCCATAGATAAGATCTCTGCATTCATTACCACCACCACTATCCATCACCTGCCCCTCTGCCAAAAAAAAAAAAAAAAAGGCAATCTGGGAAAATTTAAAGAGGAATTAGTACCAGGAATCTTTTAAAAATGTGCTAAAACCTTGTCACTACAACGTAAAAGATATTTTTAAAAATTAATACACTCTTCTCGGAATGCCACTTTAAAAGTTACCGACTTCACCATTAAACTGTCGCAGATTAAAGAGCAAAACACTCACTATATCCTAATGTACAAGTGTAAATTTACACCTAAATCTCCCATATTCCCCATAAAGTAGTAAAAATGTATTTTTTTTAGAAACAGTAGCAAAAAGATGTAAGTGGGTGAACTTCTACACTGATAAAAGATCTTGTAGACTTGTCTATCCCTGCTATTTCCACCAAGTATAATGATAGATTCTGGAAATAATACAGAAGACAACCGAAGAGAATTCTGAAAGGTAGAAAGAGGAAGCTTAGGACCCCAGGACTGGAAGATACAATAACATAACTTTTTAAAAAACTCTGAATGGGCTCAAGAATAGAGTGAAAAGACAGAGGACAGAATCACTGAACTTGAGGACCCATCAATAGGCTTTATCTAACCTGACCAAAAAAGAGAAAACAGACTGAATATAAAAAGAACTGAGCCATAGGGTCCTATCAGACAATATCATCCGAATCTCAAAAAGAGAGAAGAAAGTGTGCTGAAAGAGTACTGAAAAAATACTGGCTGTAAACTTCCCACATGTGGTGAAAGACACAAACCCAGAGATTTAGGAAGTAAAGTTTAAGTCCAAAAAAGGATAAACCCAAAAATATCGACACCAAGATCCATCATAATTGAACTTTTTGGAAACAAAACAAAACAGAAATCTTGAAAGCAGCCTGAGAGAATAACACATTACCTGCCTGTAAAAGAACCCTAATTTGAATGATAGTAGATTACTCATCTGAAATTACAGAACCAGAAGGAATGGCATATTTTTTTCAGGGCTGATAGAAAAGAATTGTCAACTATAAATTATATATCCAGAGAAACTATCCTTCAAGAATAAAATGGAAATAAAACCTTTTTAGGCCGGGTGCGGTGGCTCACGCCTGTAATCCCAGCACTTTCGGAGGCCGAGGTGGGCGGATCACGAGGTCAGATCGAAACCATCCTGGCTAACACGGTGAAACCCCGTCTCTACTAAAAATACAAAAAATAGACGAGCGTAGTGGCGGGAGCCTGTAGTCCCAGCTACTCAGGAGGCTGAGGCAGGAGAATGGCGTGAACCCGGGAGGCGGAGCTTGCAGTGAGCCGAGATTGTGCCACTGCACTCCAACCTGGGCGACAGAGTGAGATTCCATCTCCAAAACAATAACAACAACAAAAAACCTTTTTAACACAAAAGAAAACTAAAATAATTTGTCGCTAGCAGACATTCCCTAAAGAATGGCTAAAGGAGGTTTTTCAAAAAGAAAGGAAAATATAACAAAGGATTCTTGGAACATCAGGAAAAAAATGAAAAGAGAAGAAATATGGATAAATGTAATAGACTATCCTTATCAATTTTTGAAATGACATATGATAATTGACACAAAAATTGTAATACCATATGATACTCAAGACAATGATATTTAGAAGTGGGGAAGATAAAGGACCCAAATAGACATAAGGATTACATATTTCATTATGAGAGTGAAGATATTTAAGTTGACTGTGGTAAGTCACATATGTAAACTATAATACCAAGCAACGAGTAAGAAAATTATAAAAATTACCTTAAATGTAAATGGTTAAAATATAACAAAAGTTAGACGTTGGCAGAATCAACTGAAAAAAAATAACACAACGAGAAATTTATAAGAAACTCACTTCAAAATAAACATAGGCAGGTTAAAAGTAAAAGGATGGAAAAAATACACTCTGCAAAAATTAAATTTGAAAGAAAGCAGAATGGCTATCTCATAAAATAGACTTCAGAACAAAAATACTAGAACAGGGACATTACATAATGATTTAAAAAAAATCACCAGGAAGACATAAATGTATATGCAAGAAACAATACACCCTTAAAAAAATGAGGCAAAAATTGAGACTTCTGGTTTCCAATCTGATATGACGTTAAGAGTCTGGAAGTCATCGCTCCCATTCTCACAACAAGAAAAAAGCTGCACTAACTAAAAATAAACAGTTCTTCTTACACAGTTAAAGTCATAGGGCAAACATTACTCCTAAAGCTGCAGAGACAAGTGAAAACAGCATCACAGCTAATGGAGCCAAAGCAGATGGTGGAGTCTGGTAAAAGCACTTAGAATGTAACTGACTAATTGATGGATACTGAGCAAGGACAAGCTACAGAGATTGAAAACTCCTAGAGTGGGGGATAGGCCTTAGAGGGTCAACACACCTTCAAGAGTTTTATCTCCAGGAAGAGCCCCATCAAGTTCTCAGAATAAAGATAGGAAAAAAAATGCTCTTATGTCTCCAGTCCTGGGGTCCTAAGACATAAGGGGAGGGAAGGAGAAAACATTTTTGAAATAAGCGCAGAACATTATGTTCTCTCCTTAACAACATTCTAATCCCCCAAAAAGCTAGTTTACTAGAGCCTAAACCACCTAGGGGAATGGAAATACCCAGCACCAGCCCCCTCTACCCTTCTTTTCTTACCCAAGGGAAGGGGAAGGAAGCTGAGAAGCACTCTGAAGGTCACAGTCCAGGAAGACAGGTTCTCTAAAAGACTGACCTAATCCTAAGAGTACAGGATGCTTCTGGCCGGGCGCGGTGGCTCACGCCTGTAATCCCAGCACTTTGGGAGGCCGAGGCGGGCAGATCATGAGGTCAGGAGATCGAGACCATCCTGGCTAACATGGTGAAACCCCGTATCTACTAAAAATAGAAAAAAATTAGCCGGGCGTGGTGGCGGGCGCCTGTAGTCCCAGCTACTCGGGAGGCTGAGGCGGGAGAATGACGTGAACCCAGGAGGCGGAGCTTGCAGTGAGCTGAGATGGCGCCACTGCACTCCAGCCTGGGCTACAGAGCGAGACTCTCTCAAAAAAATTAAAATAAAATAAAAACATTAAAAAAAAATGAGTATACGATGCTTCTCCTCTTCCCGCACCTTATCATCAATCACATCAGTACATTACCTGTATAGTAACAGGAGATTAAAAATGAAAGAGCTGTCAATTTTAGACCCTATTTAAGACAGAGTCTCTGGGAAAACTCAAAACGGAAGAAAGAAAAATAAAATAACCTTAGAGGAAATTTTGGCCTCTGACACCACAGTTATGCAAAGAGCAAATTCAGCCTAACTACTAACTAGATAAACATAAAACCTTACATTAAAGGCTTCCTTACCTCAGTTCCTTTGCCAATACAACATGTCTGGCTTTCAACAGAAAATTGCAAGGTATGCTAAAGCCAAACAATACAGTCTTATGAGACAAATCAAGCAAACATGCAGATATGACAGATTTGGAAATATCAGATAAAGAATTTGAAATAATAATCAGTATGCTAAGGGCTCTATGTTGAAAAAGTGGGCAACATGCAAGAAGAGATAGGTACTATAAACAAAGATATGAAATTTCAAAGAATCAGAAGGAAATACAGAGATTAAAAGTAAAAATTGTAGAGTGTCTTTGATGGCCTCATCAAAGTCTGGGAAGACTGGGAAGTGCTGAGGAAAGAATCAGTGAGTTTGAAGATACGTCAATAAAATTTTTCCATTAAACACAAAGAGAAAAAGAATGAAAAATGAAACATAATATCCAAACTGTTGGACAATAATTTTTTTTTTTTTTTTTTTTTGAGATGGAGTCTCTCTCTGTCGCCCAGGCTGGAGTGCAGTGGTGCAATCTCGGCTCACTGCAAGCTCCGCCTCCTGGGTTCATGCCATTCTCCTGCCTCAGCCTCCCGAGTAGCTGGGACTACAGGCGCCCGCCACCACGCCCGGCTAATTTTTTGTATTTTTAGTAGAGACGTGGTTTCCCCGTGGTAGCCAGGATGGTCTGGATCTCCTGAACTTGTGATCCGCCCGCCTCGGCCTCCCAAAGTGCTGGGATTACAGGCAAGTGAGTCACCGCGCCCGACCCTGTTGGACAATTTCAAACGGTGTAACCTATGTAACCCATAATCGGAATACCAGAAGTAGAAGGAAGAGAGTGAGAACCAGAAGAAATATTTAAAATAATGACAGTTGAGAATGTTTCAAAATTAATGACAGACATGAAACCATAGGTTCAGGAATCTCAGCAAACACCAAGCAGGTTAAATACAAAAAAATCCACACCTAGGCATCTCATATTCAAATTGCAAAAAATTGAAGACTTTCTTAAAATTAAAATAAAATCTTTTAAAAATAAAATCTCGAAATAAACCAGAGTAAAATAAAACACCTTACCTACATAGGAGCAAGAATGAGAATTATGCCAGATTTCCCTTAAGGAACCATGCAAGCAAGAAGAAAGTGAAGTGAAATATTTAAACTGTTGAGAGAAAACACACACTAATATAAAATTCTATATCCAGTAAAATTATCCTAAATAGTAAAGTAGAAATAAAGACTTAGATAAACAGAATTGAGGAAATCTTTCTCCAGTAGACCTACCTTGCAAGCCATGTTAATAGAAGTTCCTCAGAGAAAAGAAAAACAATATAGGTCAAAAACACAGAAATACATAAAGAAAGGTAGGAGCATTAGAGAAGAAAAAATTTAAAATAAAATCTAGTGTCTTCTTCTTAATTGATGTAATAGGTAACAGCTCTAAATAATACTAACAATGTATTGGGTGATTATGGCTTATGAATAAGTAAAATGAATGATAATAATGTAATACAAAATAAGACAGAAGGATTGGAAATGCTGTGTTATAAAGTACCAGCACCATTAATGAAGTGGAATAGTGTTGTTTGAAAGTAGATTGTTATAGTGTATATTTCATACTCAAAGGCTACCACTAAAACAATGACCAAGAAATGTAATTAATATTCTAGGAGAAGTGAGGATATGGAATCATATAAAATGCTCAATTAAAACAAAAAATGTGACAGGGGAATTCAGGAAAAAAAGAAGAAACAAGGGCAACAAATAAAAAAGAGTTACAATATGGCAAATATTAATCCAAGTATCAATAATCACTTTAAATGTAAACAGTCTAAATATACCAATTAAGAAAGCAATGGCAACAAAAGCCAAAATTGACAAATGGGATCTAATTAAACTAAAGAGGTTCTGCACAGCAAAAGAAACTACCATCAGAGTGAACAGGCAACCTATAGAATGGGAGAAAATTTTTGAAATCTACCCATCTGACAAAGGGCTAATATCCAGAATCTACACAGAACTTAAACAAATTTACAAGAAAAAATCAACCTCATCAAAAAGTGGGCGAAGTATATGAACAGACACTTCTCAAAAGAAGACATTTATGCAGCCAACAGACACATGAAAAAATGCTCATCATCACTGGCCATCAGAGAAATGCAAATCAAAACTACAATGAGATACCATTTCACACCAGTTAGAATGATGATCATTAAAAAGTCAGGAAACAACAGGTGCAGGAGAGGATGTGGAGAAATAGGAACACTTTTACACTGTTGGTGGGACTGTAAACTAGTTCAACCATTGTGGAAGACAGTGTTGCGATTCCTCATGGATCTAGAACTAGAAATACCATTTGACCCAGCCATCCCATTACTAGGTATATACCCAAAGGATTATAAATCATGCTGCTATAAAGACACATGCACACATATGTTTACTGAGGCAGTATTCACAATAGCAAAGACTTGGAACCAACCCAAATGTCCATCAATGACAGACTGGATTAAGAAAATGTGGCACATATATACCATGGAATACTATGCAGCCATGAAAAAGGATGAGTTCATGTCCTTTGTAGGGCCATGGATGAAGCTGGAAACCATCATTCTCAGCAAACTACCGCAAGGACAAAAAAACAAACACTGCATGTTCTCACTCATAGGTGGGAATTGAACAATGAGAACACTTGGACACAGGAAGGGGAACATCACACACTGGGGCCTGTCATGGGGTGGGGGGAGAGGGGAGGAATAGCATTAGGAGATATAGCTAATGTAAATGATGAGTTAATGGGTGCAGCACACCAACATGGCACATGGATACATATGTAACAAACCTGCATGTTGTGCACATGTACCCTAGAAATTAAGGTATGATAATAATAAAATAAAAGACTGAGACTGTCAGAGTAAACAACAACAACAAAACCCATGATCCACCTACATGTTGTCTACTGAAATCCTCTTTAAATATAAAATAGCAGGTAGATTTGAAGAGCTAGAGAAAGATATACCATGGTAACACTAACCAAAAAGAAAGCCAGAGTATCTAAATTAATTTTAGACAAAGCCAACTGCAGAGCAAGGAAAATTATCAGAGATGAAAAAGGGTATTACACAATAATAAAGGGGTCAATATAACAAGAAGATATAATAATGCTTAATGTGTATATACCTAGCAACAGAAGAGTCAAAATATATTAGGGGGAAACTGATAGAACTGCAAGGACAGAGAGACACATCCATTATTACCACTGGAGACTTCAACACCCCTCTATGAGTAAGTGACAGACTCAGCAGGAAGAAAATCATTAAGGATAGATTTGAACTGAACAGCACCATCAATCAACTGGATCTAACTGAATACTTTAGAATTCAATTAGCGTTGTAGAATATTTTATCTAGACACTGCAGAATACACATTCTTCTCAAATACAAATGCACAATTCATTAAGTTAAACCACATTCTAGGCCACAGAACACTTTACCAAATTTAAAAGAATAGAAATCACAAAAGGCATGTTCTTGAATTAGAATGGAATTAAACTAATAATAGCAGAAAGAGAGCTGAAATATCCTCAAATACCAAAAAATTTAAAAACACATTTCTAAATAATAAAACATGGTGAAAGAGAAAGTCTCGAGAGAAACAAAATTTTTTAACTAAGCCAGTAATTAATAACCTTCCCAAACAGAAGGTACCAAGCCCAGATGATTCACTGGTGAGTTCTATCAACACTGGAGAAATAAATGATACCAATTTTCCACAATCTGTTGCAGAAAATAGAAGCAGAGTGACTATTTCTTAACTCATTCCATGGGCCAGCATTACCCTAATACCCAAACCAGCAAAACCTTACAAAAAAGTAAACTGCAAACAAATATCTCTCTTGAACATGGATGAAGCAATCCTTAAAAAATATTAGCAAATTGAACCAAACAATTTTTAAAAATGAACACCACAACCAAGTGGGATTTACTCTAGATATGCCTTTAACATTTGAAAATTAATTAATATAGTCCATCAGATCAACAAGCTAAAGAATAAAAATCATATGCTTCCAGTACTTTCTGCTCAATTTCTATGTAAACTTAAAATTGCTAAAAAATATAAAGCCTATTAATATAAGAAAACTGATGGAGCAGAATGGAAAAATAAACAGATCCACAATTATAGTACAGATTTCAAAATGTCTCTCTTAGCAACTGACAGAACTACTGGACAAGAAGTCAGCAAGGATATACAAGATCTGAACAACATAATCAAACAACAGGATCTCACTGAAATACATACAGAATACTCCACTTAAGAATAGCAGAATATACATTTTTTTTTCAAATGCCGATGAAACATTTACAAGACAGACCATATCCCGGCGAGCCAAACAAACCTCAACATATTTAAAAGAACTAAAATCATACAAAGTATATTCTCTAAGCATAATGGAATCAAACTGGAAATCAATACCAGAAAGAGAAAAAGAAAATCTCTAAACACTTAGAAATTTTTAAAAATACACTTCTAAATAAGCTACAGGTCAAAGAATATGCTTCAAAGAAATTTATTAAAATACTTAAATGAAAATGAAACTACATGAAAAACTAAGTGAAAATGAGAATACAACATATCAAAATATGTGAAATGTAGGTAAAACTGTGTTGATAGGGAAAACGTAGCACTAAATGCCTACATTAGGAAAGAAGAAAGCCCTAAAGCCAATAATGTAAGTTCTTACCTCTAGAAACTAGAAAACAAAATTAACTCATACAAGCTGAAGGAAGGAGATAACAAAGAGAAGAGCAGATTTCAATAGAATTTGAAACAAAAATAATAGAGAAAATCATGAATCGAAAATCTAGTTCTAAAAAACAGTAAGATTGAAAAACTTCTATCAAGACTGACAGAGACAAAAACAGATGAGACAAACTATGAATATGAGAAATTTAAGTGGATATCACTACAGATGCTGGAGACATCAAACAAATAATAAGAAAATACTATAAATAATTCTACACAAATCAACTTGACAATTCAGATTAATGGACAAATTTCTCAAAAAGTACAAACTACCACAATTCACCTAACATTAAATAGGTAATTTAAGTAATTGTAACTATTAAGAAAATTGAATTCATAATTTAAAATTACTGAAAAAAAAATCTCTTGGCCCAGATGGTTTTACTGGAGAATTCTTTTTGTTTTGTTTTGTTTTTGGTTTTTATTTTTGAGATGAAATCTCGTTCTGTTGCCCAGGCTGGAGTGCAGTGGTGTGATCTTGGCTCACTGCAACCTCTGCCTCCCAAGTTCAAGCG
The DNA here is from genome assembly GCF_000001405.40 of Homo sapiens. Lineage (NCBI taxonomy): Eukaryota > Metazoa > Chordata > Mammalia > Primates > Hominidae > Homo > Homo sapiens. The sequence goes on from NC_000009.12 coordinate 39,127,943, forward strand.
ATTCTCCTGCCTCAGCCTCCTGAGTAGCTGGGATTATAGGTGTGCGCCACCACGCCCAACTAATTTTTGTATTTTTAGTGGAGACGGGGTTTCACCATGTTGGCCAGGCAGGTCTCGAACTCCTGACCTCAAATGATCCATCTGCCTCAGCCTCCCACAGTGCTGGGATCACAGGCGTGAGCCACCCTGCCGGGCCTTACTGGAGAATTCTACCAAATGTTTAAATAAAAATTAAAGTCAATTTTACATAATCTCTTCCAGAAAACAGGAGACTAGAGAATGTTACCAAATTCATTTTATGTAGGCAGTATTGTCCTGATACTGAAACCAGATAAAGACAATATGAAAAAAGAAAACTACATATCAATATCTCTTATGAATTTGAATGCAAAAATATTCAATAAAATATTAATAAATGAAACACATTAGAAATGTATTTTTTAAATTATACATTATGGCAAAATGGGAGTTGCTCTAGTTATGCAAAGCTGATTCAACATATCAACAGACAAAAGAAGAAATATAATATTTTAATACCAATTGACACAGAAAAGACATTTGACAAAAATCCAATGTCCTTTCAAAATAAAAACTGTCAGCCAACCAGGAATAAAAGGGAACTACCTCCACATAACATAGGAAACAAGAATGAATGCTTTTCCCCTAAGACAGGAAACAAGGCAAGGATGTCTGCCCTCACCACTCTAGTTCAACCTAGGATTGAAAGTCTAGCTACTGCAATAAAGCAAGAAAAATAAATTAACTCCCTACAGATTGACGAGGCAGAAATAAAGCTGACTCTACTTGCAGATGACATGATTTTCCATATAGAAAATCCCAAGGAAACTAAAAAAAAATTAAGTTCAAAAAAGAGCTTATAAGATTAGTATGAAACAATCATATTTCATATTCTAACAAGAAACATGTAAACAAAAATGTAAAGCACAACAGCACTTATAATCAATCAAGAAACTAACTAAATGCCTAAGCATACTTATAAAACATATAATCTCTGGATGCTAAGAATTACAAAATGCTGAGGCAAGAAATCAAAGATCCAAATAAATGGAAAGATATCTCATGTTCATGGATTGGAAGACTCAAAACAGTGAAACACCAATTTTCCCTTCATTGAGCTATTATGTTTAATGTCATTCCCATAAAAATTCTAGCAAGATGTTTGTAGACATAAACAAATTTATTACAAAATTTATACAGAATGAGGCAAGCTACAGACTTACTTAAACAATCTTGAAAAAGAAGAATAAAGCAGGAGGAATAACTCAACCCTGCTATACAGCTACCATGTTCAAGACAGTGTGATATTGGTGGAGGCATATAAATTAATGAAACAGATAAAGAATGCAGAAACAGACCCACCACACAAGTAAGTTCAACCAATTTTTAACAATATTTAAAATGCAATTCAATGCAGGAAGGATAGCCTTTTCAACAAATGGTTCTGGAGCAACTGAACATTCATAGTCAGAGAGAGTGAGAGAGAATCAACTCTCACATCTTATATAAAATGTGTCCCAAAATAGGGCATGGAATTAAAAGTAAAAGGTAAAACTAGAAAACTTTTAGGAAAAAAATTCAAAAATCTTTGGAATTGGAATTTAGGGTTAGGTAAAGAATTTTTAGAATTGACACGATGTGTACAACCCATAAAAGGAAAATATGATAAACTGAATCTCATCAAAATTAAAACTTTTGCTCTAAAAAATTCCAGTTAAGAGTCGATGAATAGGCAAGCAACAGAGTGGGAAAAAATATTTGCAAATCACATATCCAGCAAAGGGCTAGTATCTAGAATGTATAAAGAACTGAAAATTCAACAGTAACAAAACAAATCCAAACAATCCAATTAGAAAATGAACAACAACAAAAACACATTCACAGACATCTATCTCACTGAAAACGATATACAGATGGCAAATAAGCATATAAAACATGCTCAATATTATTAGACATCAGGGAGACACAAATTAAAACCACAATAAAGATATTACTACACAGTTATCAGAATAGCTTAAATAAAAAATAGTCACAACACCAAATGCTGATGAGCATGTGGAGGAAATGAAATCATACACTGTTGGTGGGAATGGTACAACCATTCTAGAAAACAATTTGGCAGCTTTTTATAAAACTAAGTATGCAATTACCATATATGACCCACCAATTGCACTTTGGGGCATTAATTCCAGAGAAATGAAAACTGATGTTCACACAAAACCTGTACACAATGTTCATAAAAGCTTTATTCATAATTGCCCCAAACTGTAAACAAACAACCCAGATGCCCTTCAATGAGTGAATAAACTCTGGTATATCCATGCCACCGATTGCTAATCAGCAATGAAAAGGAACAAATTACTGATATACACAATTATGCAAATGAATCTAGAGAGGATTACACAGAGTGAAAAAAACTCAACCACAAAGAGTACATACTATATAATTTCATTTACATAACATTCTTGAAATTTAAAAAAACCCATAGAAATGGAGAACATACTAGTGGTTATTAACGAGCAATAGGAGGAATTCTTTTTTTTTTTTTTTTTTTTTTGAGATGGAACGGAGTCTTGCTCTGTCGCCCAGGCTGGAGTGCAGTGGCGCCATCTCGGCTCACTGCAAGCTCCACCTCCTGGGTTCACGCCATTCTCCTGCCTCAGCCTCCCAAGTAGCTGGGACTACAGGCACCTGCCACCAAGCCTGGCTACTTTTTTGTATTTTTAGTAGAGACGGTGTTTCATCATGTTAGCCAGGATGGTCTGATTTCCTGACCTCGTGATCCGCCCGCCTCGGCCTCCCGAAGTGTTGGGATTACAGGCATGAGCCACCGTGCCCGGCCAATAGGAGGAATTCTTGTGCTGATGGAAATACTGTGTATCTTGACTGTATGGATGTCAAGATTCCGGCTGTGATATTGCACTATACTTCTACAAGATGTCACCTTGGGGTGGGGGAACTGCTTAACGGCTACTCGGGTTCTCTCTGTTACTTCTCACAAGTGTATGTAAATCTACAATTATCTCAAATTTTTTTTTAAATTATCTTTTCAAAAGAGGAGAAATAGGGAAATTCTCACTGATGGGAGTAGAATATTCCATTTCTTGTGTTATTTTAGCCCCTAGCCCAGTAGTTTCCAAAAGATCACCTGGGGATTTTTTTTTTAAACAATTCCAAAGCCAAGGCTACACTTCATTCAACAGCAATGAACTAACAAATAATTAAGTTTTGTAATGCCAACTTTAAAAAACTGGAGAACTGGGAAGGAGAGTTTCTTACTTACTGAACTTATGTAAGCTATCTCATTTATAAAAGAAACCCCATGAGATCAATACTACAGGGTCCATTTCATCAAAGAGGAAACAAAGTCTGAGAAAGATTAAGGAATGGCCTAAATTTCCACAGCTGCTAAGTGACAGACTTACCACTTGAACTTCAAACTTTGAATGCAACCAGACCTTTGCTCTTTCTACTAGACCAAATTGGCTGGCAGGCATCCAGGGGAGAGAGGGATCACCCTGGGAAGGGACCCAGATGCCGACTGCACAGGTCTAGCACAGTGGGTAAGATTTAAGAGTGTGAGGGCCGGGCGCGGTGGCTCACGCCTGTAATCCCAACACTTTGGGAGGCTGAGGCGGGCGGATCACCTGAGGTCAGGAGTTCAAGAACAGCCTGACCAACACGGTGAAACCCCGTCTCTACTAAAAATACAAAAATTAGCCGGGCATGGCGGCACCCGCCTGTATTCTCAGCTATTCGGGAGGCTGAGGCAGGAGAATCGCTTGAATCCGGGAGGGGAGGGGGTTGCAGTGAGCAAAGATCGTGCCACTGCACTCCAGCCTGGGTGACAGAGAGGCCAATCCAGGCAGAGGAAATGGTCTGGCATATTCCAGGGGCTGATTGGCCAGACAGATTAGGGAAGGCAATGCAGGTATGGGTTAGCGGATCAGCGCAAACCACCTTCAGATGACAGTCATACACCACTTTCCAACTTAAAGATTTTGTATTGAAAATTAAAGAGTGAAATTTAATTTAAGTGGCTTTATTATGCTACCGACATATACTGTTTTTGTTTTTTTAAGACAAGGTGTTGCTCTGCTGCCCAAGCTGGAGGCAGTGAAGCAATCACAGCTCACTGCAGCCTGGACTTCCTGGGCTCCAGTGATCCTCCCGCCTATATACTATTTGGGATTGCTAAAACTAAAAAAAGAAAGGCAAATTTCAGTATTTAACTATAATTAGCAATAAAGTGCTTTCAAGAAACTATATGGAAACTGTTGGAGAGCAGCAGTGAGTCCTGCAGGGGACTTGTGGGGATTCCGGAAAGGAGGGGGAAGTTGGTCTTTAACTTAGGAGAAGATGGTTTTGATGCAGGCAGAGTTTCCAAAACATTACTTCCATATATGAAGATTAAGGTATACATTTCTCAAGATATAATTTCAAAAAAATGAGACACCCACTGACAAAAGGTTTTAATAACCCTAGTCATTATTTCATCCTAGACCACAGTGAAAGTGGCGGGGCTGAGGAAGGGCATATTCAGTTAATCTAAAGGGAGGAAACAAACGTTCCAGGTAGATTTAGAGGAAGACTTTGACCAGAGTAAGGTGGTTACCGGTTCCCACTGGTCTTCATGAAGAATTGTTAGACCCAGCCTGCCCTACAGCCATTATCTCCTCAGTGTGAACGGAAAGCTAAGGCATAAGTTATCAGCAAAATTTCCCTTGATTAAGAAAGGACAAGTCACTAGTCCTGCATATGAACGCGCTGAACGTCTCTCAACGGTCAGGAAGGCGCTCTTGAATGCTCTTTGGTCCAACCAAGAGCGGGAAGAGAAGGAGAGAGTGGTCAGGGCTTTGAACTAAGAGCCACGGGAGGGACCCTGGCCTTTTCTCCCTCAAACGCATCTCGCAGCCCGAGGGCCGCGCCCCGGCCCCGTGAACCCCTGTAGCCTCCAGGAGTGGCGCTTACCTCGTGAGTCCGGGCGCCGCGCCGTCCCGCAGCGCAGAGCCAGCCGCTGCTCGCAGCGCTCCGCCAGGTTCACCGCGGACCGCAGCTGCCCCGCGCCCGCTGCGTACGCGAAGGACACAGCCGAGCGCGGGTGCCCGCTGGGGGCACCTCGGAGGGTCACCGCGTCGGGGCCACCGTGCTGCACCACCGTCCACGCGGCGTCTGCTGAGCAGAAACGGGCAAAGGAGAGGCATCACTGGACGGCAGAGGCCAGCAGCAAGAGGCAAAGCAGACCTGTCTTTTATGTGAATTAACGTTTAATTGAAATTTACATTACTGCATGTTTGCCGCGATTTGAGGAGTTGGACCTGTGTAACAATGTACTGAGCCAGAACTCAGCCTCTAAGAGAAAGCATATTGGAAGAACTGATGACCAAACTTTTGTGACGTCACGCCTAAAAGTGTATCATGTAAGCAATGACTTTTTAGTTGTTAAAACCATTTTTTTATATCAACACAAGCATGGGGCCAAACTGTTACTACCTGGACCTTTATCTTTTTAAACTCATCTGCATTTTCCTCATCTGTATGTGCCTCTATTTCTTTCATTATCGAATAAATTTATAAAAGATACATATTGGGACGATGTGACGCACATACTCACAGGTATGATAGGAAGCAGCTCTATTAAAATAAAGTGGTTTAATTATGTCAGCTTATCCATCAGTGACCAAGCCCAGAGGAATCAGAGGCCTTGAGCTTCTAACAGCACTTTCCAGGCGGTGACCCTGAGCATCTGACTGCCTGCTGACATCATTTCTGATGTATCTCTGTCACTTGATTACTTATATTGTTTTGATGAAATAAAAACAAAATGACTCCACAATCTCAAAAGGGAAGAAGTGCATCTTGAGTTCTTTAGTGTTCCCAAAAATGGACCTCCCACCAGACTTGAAGTCACTTTAATTCTACTATGCTGGTGCTGTCTGGTCCTTTAACCTCTAATAAGATGTATTTAGAATAATGGACATTTTACATAAAAATTTTCCGAACTGGAGAAATGAAGAAACATTCGTATGGGGATTTTTTAAGAACTACGAAACAAAACAATGTGATACATTTTACCTTGAGAAATCACCCTGCCAGCCCTTCACATCTCAGGATTTCTAATGGCTTGGCTGCTAACTGTGCGTAAGACAAATTTCACAGCCTTACTGTTACTTACACACGCCTAACAACAGAGATCAGAGGAAAGAAGGAAAAGAAAACCAGCCATGCTACTGAAATATCTCTTTAGTCACAGAACCCATGGAGAGGAAAGGTGTGATATCCACAAATGAGCCACAAGTACAGAAAAAAATCTGCAAATTTAAATAATGAATGCAATTTTAAATTAAATTATCACTCCACTCACTGTACTCACCAAAGGAGGCTCTAAGTGTGCCTATGGTAATTTCAATTCCATGGGTTCTTCCTTTAATATTGCTCTATTTTTTTTATTTTAGATTTTTTATTTAATTTATTTATTTTTGAGATAAGAGTCTCGCTCTGTTGCCCAGGCTGGAGTGCAGTGGCGCTATCTCAGCTCACTGCAGCCTCTGCCTCCTGGGTTCAAGCAGTTCTCCTGTCTCAGCCTCCCAAGTAGCTGGGACTACAGGCACACACCACCACACCTGGCTAATTTTTGTATTTTTTTAGTAGAGACGGGGGTTTCACCATGTTGGCCAGGCTGGTCTTGAACTCCCAACCTCAGGTGATCCACCCACCTTGGCCTCCCAAAGTGCTGGGATTACAGGTGTGAGCCACCACGCCTGGCCTCATTTTAGAATTTTTACAACCTGGTGTTACTCTGTGCACATCACCTACTCTCACCTTCAGAGTTTTCCTATCAACTGAATCAAATATAGAAAAACCTATGGAACACTAAGTTGGGCATTGAAGATGATCAACCACATGCCATTTTTGGCCATGTGTTCATGATTTGTTGTACAATGGGAGAGAAATGATGGTCCAGAGTAGTTCACATAGGCCGGTGGGCAGTATGATAGATTTGCAGTCACCCATGGTTAAGATGTGATCACAGAAATGCCCTCAGTACTGAGAAGGGAACTGTTCAGAATACATCTGTAAAACTTGTTTTTCTGAAGAGTAGAATAGTAACCAGGGACATTATAGGCTATGCATTTGTGTTTATAAAATTCCACTTGACTCACTTCTCCTTATAATATCAGTAGTAAAACACCCAAAGAAGGACATAGACCATTGTGGTTTCCTTAATTGCTCATAATTTATTTCAATTGATTATAAGCATATTGGAACTGGAAAGGATCTTAAAGAGCATCTAATATAACCCTTATATTTTTCTTTTTCTTTTTTATTAGAGATAGGGTCTCCCTCTGTTGCCCAGCTTGGAGTGCAGTGGCACCTTCATAGTTTACTGCAGCCTCGACCTCCTGGGCTCAAGTGAATTGGACCTGAGTAGATTAATTATAACAGTGGCTAAATGTGGAAAGGGGATCAGAGGTGTGGCTGAGTCTGAACACACTGGAGGCTGTCTCACTAGCCCAGAAGGAGGGTAACTGTAACACGTTGATCCCTGTTCCACTCCTGTTGCTCAAATAAATATCCGACTTTGAAAATTAAGCTAATTTAACTTCATGATTTTGATTGGAATTAACAGTACAGATGTTCCTCAATTTATGATGAAGTTGCATCCAGATGAACTTATTATAAATTAAAAATGCACTTTAATACATGTGACCTACTGAACCTAGCTCAACCCAGCCTAACTTAAATGTGCTCAGAACACTTAAATCAGCCTACAGTTGGGCAAAATCATCTAACACAATGCCTATTTTATAATAAAGTGTTGAATATCTCATGTCATTTATTAACTACTGTACTGAGAGTAAAAAAGAAAATAATAATAATGGTTGTGGCCAGGCATGGTGGCTCACGCCTGTAATCCCAGCACTTTGGGAGGCCGAGGCAGGCAGATTACGAGGTCAGGAGATCGAGACCATCCTGGCTAACATGGTAAAACCCTATCTCTACTAAAAATACAAAAAATTAGCCGGGCGTGGTGGCACGTGCCTGTAGTCCCAGCTACCGGGGAGGCCGAGGCAGAAGAATCGCTTGAACCTGGGAGGTGGAGGTTGCAGTGAGCCGAGATCGTGCCACTGTACTCCAGCCTGGGTGACAGAGCAAGCCTCTGTCTCAAAATAATAATAATAATAATAATAATAATAATAATAAAAATAATAGTTGTATGGGTACTTGAAATAGGGATGCATATGGTTTCACATAGTGAAGTCGCAATATTGTAAGTAGAACCATTGTAAACGGGGATTGTCTGCACTTAAAATTTACTTAGTATATCATATGAAATCCCCAGCATCTGGTATACCCATTCCTATATGTCCCAGAAGAAGAAAGAAAATAAGATCCACTGTTCTGTTGTCAGGAGCATACATATTAAGGTTATCTCTTTTAGAGAACTGACCCTTTCATTTGTCTGAGAAAATCTTTATTTCTTCACTTTTCAAGGAGAAGGTTTTGTTTTGTTTTGTTTTCTCTCTTTCACACTTTAAGTATCTCACTCCATTCTTGCTGGCATGATTTCTGAAGAGAAGTCGCTGTAATACTTATCTCCTATGTAGGTAAGGTGCTTTCTTCCTCTGATTATTTTTAAGAATTTACTTTTACCTGGCCTGGGCACGGTGGCTCATGCCTGTAATCCCAGCACTTTGGGAGGCTGAGGTGGGTGGATCACCTTAGTTCGGGAGTTCAAGACCAGCTTTACCAACATGGAGAAACCCTGTCTGTACTAAAAATACAAAAATTAGCCAGGCATGGTGTCACATGCCCATAATCCCAGCTACTCAGGAGGCTGAGGCAGGAGAATCACCTGAACCCAGTAGGCGGAGTTGTGGTGAGCCAAGATCGTACCATTGCACTCCAGCCTGGGCAATGAGAGTAAAACTCCATCTCAAAAAAAGGAGTTTACTTTTATCTTTGAATTCTATAGTTTGAAAATATAAGCCTGGTAGAGTTTTGGGGGCATTTCTCCTTCTTTGGTGTTCTCTAAACTTCCTGGATTTGTGGTTTGGTGTCTGATACTAATTTGTGGGAATTCTCAGTCATTATTTCTTCAAATATGCTTCTGTTCCTTTCTTTCTTTCTTCTCCTAGAATTCTCTTTACACGTATGTTACACCTTTTGTAGTTGTGCCACTGTACTCAGATATTATGTTCTGGGTTTTCTTTTTGCGGGGGGTTGGGTTCAGTCTTTTTTTCTCTTTGCTTTTCAGTTTTGCAAGTTTCTATTGAGGTATCTCTAAGCTTAGGGATTCTTTCCAAAGCTGTGCCTGGTCTACTAATAAGCCCATCAAAGGCATTCTTCATTTCTGTTATGCTGTTTTTGATCTCTAGCACTCCTTTTTGCTTCTTAGAATTTCCATCTTGCTGTTTACATTGTTCATCTGGTCTTGCATGCTATCTATTTTATCCATTACAGCTTTTTCCATATTAATTATAGTTGTTTAAAGTCCTGGTCTGATAATTCCAATGTCCCTGCCATATCTGACTCTGGTTTTTGTTTGTTTTGTTTTTTGGTTTTTTTGAGACAAAGTCTTGCTCTGTCACCCAGGCTGGAGTTCAGTGGCATGATCTCAGCTCACTGCATGCTCCGCCTCCCGGATTCATGCCATTCTTCTGCCTCAGCCTCCCGAGTAGCTGGGACTACAGGCACCCGCCACTATGCCCAGCTAATTTTTTTTGTATTTTTAGTAGAGACAGGGTTTCACCGTGTTAGCCAGGATGGTCTCGATCTCCTGACCTCGTGATCCACCTGCCTCAGCCTCCCACAGTGCTGGGATTACAGGCGTGAGCCACCGTCTGTTTTTAATGCTTGCTCTGTCTCTTCAAAGTGTGTTTTTTGCCTTGAAATTTTTTCTTTTTCTTTTTTTGGAGACAAGGTCTTTCTCTGTTGCCCAGGCTAGAGTGCAGTGGTGTGACCATGGCTCACTGCAGTCTCCAACTCCCAGGCTCAAGCGATCCTCCCACCTCAGCCTCCCAAGTAGCTGGGACTACAGATACATGTCACCATGCTGTTTTTTGTTGTTGTTGTTGTCACAATGCTGTTTTTTGTTGTTGTTGTTGTTGTAGAGGTGGGGGTCTCACTGTGTTGCCCAGACTGGTCTTAAAACTGGTCTCAGGCTATCTTCCCTCCTCAGCTTCTCAAAAAGTAATAGGATTATAGGTCCAGCTGAAATTTTTTCTTGATAACCAGATGTGATGTACCAGGTAAAAGTAACTGTAACTGCTGTAAAGAGGCCTGCAGTACTATAAGTAACATGTGTGGGAAGGGGAAAGGTTCTATAGCCCTGTGATTAGGTCTGAGTCCTTTAGGGAGCCTTAGCCTCTGGGCTGTGACCTTCACAAGAGCTTCTCAGCCCTCCCTCCCATCACCACCCTTACTTGGGGACAGGATGGCCAGAGGTGGGTAATTTCCTTCCTCCAGGCAGGTTAGGCTCTGAAAACAAAAAACAAAACAAAACAAAACAAAACAAGAAAACAAAACACCAGTAGCTTAGGTGAAATATTTGCCCTTGAGGAAAGACCTTGTTAAGAAGAACAGAAAGCTCTGGTGTACTTCAAGATGGTTCCTTTTCACCTTCCCTTTCTGGAAGCATGAGGAGATTTTTCTCCAACATTCACTGTGAGAACCTGGTCAAGCTAGGTGTCAAACTCACAGAAGTGTGGGGACCCTTCTCTGTCTGGGTCTTCCTGGAGTTTTTAACTCTCAGATGTGTCCACATCGAACATCCAACAATTCGTCAATTAAGTTTAGGTTTTCCTACCTTGACAACGGTTTCCCCAAAGGTTAGTGCTTGTGGAAGAAAATTGTCATTCTGTATATAAGCCTGCCTGTCTCTCCAATTTTGAGGGGCAGTGGTTTGTTCTGTGACCTCACTTCTCTGCTGGATCTAAAAAAATTGGTTGATTTTTCAGTTTGCCTGGCTTTTTACTTGTTCTTAAGACAGAGTGCTGACTTCCAAGCTCTGAAGCAACTGCTTTTTGAAGGTTATTACCATATATACATTTCAAGCTATTAGAGTAGTTTGAAATTGCACATTTTATAATCATTATTGCTTGATTTGTACAACTAGAGAATTTATTACTGGCTATAGCGCAATGGGGCATCTAAAGAGAAGGTGACATTTTCTAGGGCAGAAAAGAGACCAGAGTTTAGTGATTCCCCTATCATTAGCTAGATTTTGTCAGTAGATACTTCCCTAACCAACTTTTCTGAGCCTTGGTTTCCTCATCTTAAAATGATGACAACCAAGGTCCTTCCTGGTTGTGACTTTGGTTGAGTCTTTTGATATCCACCAAGACCATTTTTATGGGATTTCTCACTTTGCTTTCATTGTTTGAGTCAGGGGATTTTGGAGGTAATTGGTATCTTATGGCAGAACGCCTGTGTTTCTTTATCTTCAGCACATTGCTGTGCAGGTGGCTCTGAATCTTCTGAACGTCCCCTGTAAAGTTTTACTACTTTTTGGCAATCTTTGCTAAGGCACTTTAAATGCCCATGTAATTTCAGTTATTTGTTTCTTTTTCCTTGATGCTTGCTGACCCATTTGGTTATTGTCCAAATTTATGAAACTTTTGAAACCTTTTGTCAGCACAATAAATGAGAACAGTTTATTCCAGATTTCCACTTTGCAGAGAGTTGGAAGAGCTAGGTGACAACAAATTTCTGTAAAAATGTAACTATTTAAAAGGCATTCTAGTGCAATCTTCTATAATCAAGCTGTGTTCATTTCTTTTTTTCCTTTTTTTTTTTTTTTGAGATGCAGTCTTGCTCTGTCGTCAGGCTGGAGTGCAATGGCGCAACCTTGGCTCACTGCAACCTCTGCCTCCCTGGTTCAAGGGATTCTCCTGCCTCAGCCTCCCAAGTAGCTGGGACTACAGGCGCGGGTGCCACCATGCCCAGCTAATTTTTGTATTTTTAGTAGAGATGGGGTTTCACCACGTTGGCCAGGATGGTCTCAATCTCTGGATCTCGTGATCTGCCCGCCTTGGCCTCCCAAAGTGCTGAGATTACAGGCGTGAGCCACCATGCCCAGCCCAAGCAGTGTTCATTTCTAATATCTAAAGCACGAGAAATAATCAAGTTTCTTTGGTTATGAAAAAATTATATGCCATAAAAATCACTAAATTATTTAAGATGCACATAGAACATTAACATATCTATGTTATTTCTTAGCACTTTTAAAGACCTCTGTTTTTTCTAAATACAGAAAGCATGTAAATTACCGAATCAGAGGTTTGTATTTTTCATGATGCACATGAACAGATGTATTACGAAGAGTGTAGGAGCTAGAGAGATGCCTTGGCAGAGCACTGAATCTTTCCTATAATCCAACCCAGGCAAACAAGAAATACAAGAAAATTTTGTTGACAACAAAATTAATAAATATATATTTAATGCTTCTACTTAGCAAGTACACACTATCAAACTGCATGTTTTAATAATGCTGCCAACTAGGTAAATTTCTCCTTGGTCTATTCTGATATATGCATATAACGATTATCAACATACCTGTCATATTGCAGTACACAAGAAATGGTCCCAGGGGGCCACTTCCATCTGCATCAATATAGTAAAGCCCAGACGGGTTCCCTCGGTGCTTGTGGGCTTCACAAGACTGCTCGTAGAGAGCTGTAGGAGAACACCAGCCATAAGAACCAGAAAAAATATCTCCAGATGTTGAGTCAGTGTCCAAAGGTTTGCATTTCTGAATTACAGACATGTGATACATATGACCCAACATCATTTTGATAGTGTATGACAGTATATTTGATGAGATGCAAAAAAATGACATTTAAAAAATTAAATCTATTTTTATTAACAAAGGAGAAAAAAATTACCTAGTCAAAATACATTCAAATGTTGGATGTTGTTAGATGCTGAATAAATATTTGGTCACAGTGTATTTCTATTTTGAGGAAGAAGGAAAGATTGTGTTGGTGTTCAAACATGAAGATGTGCTTACAGTGGGAATGCGATACTATCTTCAATAGACAATCTTTTGGCAATGTCTAGAGACTGTAGTTTCTCTACATAAATGTTTTCTTTTGCTTTTAGGCAAGAAAGCATGCAAACTCTGAAGCACAGTGTAAAACACTTGAAGAGATATGAGAGGAAAACTTTGTGAATCTGAATTCTGCGTGCTATTGAAACATGGTTCTTTTCAAACTCATGGCAACTATACCTCAGAATTAAACTCTATAATTAAGGAAGAAACCCTCATTCACCCTGTAATAACTGAATACCTGAGCACATTAAACTGCCTAAATAATCTGGTATTTTCCCATAAGCATTCTGTAAAGTTTTTCTTAAGCTATGCGGCAGTTATACCCTTTGCTTCCTTTAAAACAATATGAATGAGCATTTTAAAGAGATAAATAGAATTTATAAGCTATCAACATCTCATCATTAAAAAATAATTAAAGCTGATTTAAAAAAGAAACTTCCCTAAGTATTTTGCAAGTGACAATTCAAGACAGCTGAAATTCAAAACAGGAGAGAAACTTTTTTGAAAGATATCCCTATATAATGTAAATTTACTCTAGCATAATTGAATATTTTCATTTGTGCAAGCAAATGTTTTACCAAGTACAAGGTATGGAATTAATATCTGCAGGAGATGGACATTGCTAATCTTTATTTTTTTGCCACTTATGGCATATTGATTTAAATAGATACATATATTTGTATATGTCTGGTAGGATTCACTCAAATTAATAACAATACTTAAATATAGGGCACAGACTAGGTTTGGAATGGAGACAAATATTGAGGAAAGTGACTAGAATTTGTGCTTTATGTGAATTTTTTGGCTTTTTAAATGATAATGTACACATGTATTAATGTATAGTATATATCAATTGAATACAATTAATGAGTTATATACAATTAATAATTATATACAATTAATTAGTTGCACATAATTGATACATGTTATACAATTAGAAATACAAAATAACCTATTCAACTAGGTGTGGCAGTCTAGTCTCACAGTGAATGACTGTGGACTTGGCAAATTTCTACCTATAGCCGTCAACTATTAGATGAGACTGACACTTGAAATACTTTTTCAATCTCCTGATATTTTCCCTCAGAAGTTTTTGGAGTTATATTTTGATTGCAGTGAATAACCATGGACTAATATAACTCATTGATTAATTGCAACATTAAATGCAATCAGATGATGCTGAGTGTGGTGGTGGATATAAATTTGCCAGGTAACACACAAGATTAGGCTTCTGCTTTTAGGTAAGATACTATGCCTGGAGGATGAAAGATACACAGAAGTAAAAGATGTACTCCCTGCACCAACTCTATGACCTTATCAAGACATTCAACCTCTGGTGTGAGAGGCCACTCAACTCCTAGAAAATGTGTCACAGCGGCTGGGCATGGTGGCTCATGCCTGTAATCCCAGCACTTTGGAAGTCCAAGGCAGGTGGATCACAAGGTCAGGAGATCGAGACCATCCCGGCTAACATGGCAAAACCCCGTCTCTACTAAAAATACAAAAAATTAGCCAGGTGTGGTGGTGGGCTCCTGTAGTCCCAGCTACTCGGGAGGCTGAGGCAGGAGAATGGCGTGAACCCGGGAGGCAGAACTTGCAGTGAGCTGAGATCATGCCACTGGGCTCCAGCCTGGGCGACAGAGCAAGACTCCGTCTCAAAAAAAAAAAAAAAAGAAAATGTGTCACGGCTTTATAAACAGGGACCCTTCTAGTACAAAAATCATACTTCATGCTTCAATCTGTGAGAGTCACTCCTGGACTGTCTCCTCTTTTGCCCAGATCCTTTACAGAACCTCAGGACTGGGAGCGCAGAATTCTCATTCCATGTATGAACTGTGGTTTTAACACTCCACAGCCTGCCTTTCTCCTGTGGCTTTTGTGAAAATCAAATGTCTCACGGAAGAGTTCTTAAAAGTTTCAATTAGGAACTCAGGATGAGCAAGTGGAACTGAGGACTTTGCATCTCTGTTTCCTTGAAGACCCAGGGATGGGCGAAATATTCCTGAGGAGAAGTTGCTCAGAAACGTCAGTAGAGATATACAGAAAGAAAACTTTAAAAGTTAAAAACAAATAGGAAAAAAAAGGCTTTTCAGATTCTGTGATGTTCTAATTATAACAGGTTAGAGGTCAATAAAATGGCATGGCCTTTGAAATTCAGAGGGTGATTCTTCAGTAAAGACAGATGATTTTTAATATGGCAGAGGCAGTTGAGAAGTGTTAGAATATGCCATCCCTTAGACATTGTTCTTACACTTAAATGTCTACCAGAAGCATGAGGAAGGTTGGTTACAAGAGACTCGGGGCCCCATCTCCAGCGATTCTGATTTAGTAAGTTTGGGTAAGGCCTGAGAGTCTTTACTTGCAACAGGCTCCCAGGGGCTGTGGGTGCTGCTGGTGCATGGACCACCAATCAGGCATCCTGGAGCCAAGGCTGTGGAGCCAACCTCCTTAGCTCAACTCCTCATCTTCCCACAAACTAGCTGGGGGCCAAGTTACTTAACCTCTTTCTGTCCTCAACTCTGCAATGAAGATAATAAGAGTACTTTCTTCCTGGAGCTTCTTTAGGGTTAAATGAGTTAATATATGCAAAGCAATAGCAGAGGGCTGACATAAGTACTCAATACATTAATACTTTTACACTTATTCACTTTACAATCATCATCACCACCACCAAAGAAAATCACAGTCATTGTAAGAGATCTTAAAGGTCCTCTAGTTTCTAGCTGATATCCCATTACCTCTTCAAAAATCTTACCATGTACAATCCCATGATTGCATCATCCCAGTGATTGTTAAAAAATCTTTAAATACCTTAAATGTAGCATTGACAGCCTGGCAAGGGGTTGTTTTTCCACCTTTCTTTGACTGAGAAGATTCTCAGAATTAAAAGTATGGTCCAACTCAAGTAATGGAACAAGCTGTTACATCATGCATTTTTAATTTAATTTAGTTTCTACCTTTTACTATATCTGATTCTCCTAGACTTATTTCCCCATTGCTTGCCAGTTTCTTTTTTTCAATCCTATGCGTACCACGTATTTCTGTGCACTGTCTCAACACCTTGTATTAAATAAGGTGGATTAAAAGTAAACTAGAAATTGAGTGCTGAAATATCTCTTCTGATGTGTTTGCATGATTGCAAATATGCAGATACATATAAACAACTAATCAAAATGAAATGACAAAGAGATGCTGACAGAAACGAGAGGGAGGCGTGAGGCTTACAGGAATGGCAGGTCTCGCCCGTATAGCCTGTGCCTAGACAGTCACAGGAGAAGGTGTCCCACGACTGGGAACACTCGCCCCCATGCTCACAGTAGCTGGGCAAGCACCTAAAAGAAAACAGATACAACTGCTGTTTCCCTTTTTCAATCATCAAAAAATAAGTGTCTTACCAAAAACAGGTTAACCAAAAACAGGTTAATGTGAAAGAGCAGCATATGCAAGATAACCCCACATGACGTGATTACTGGGTCTGCCATCAAGGTTCTCTAATTATATTGACAAACTTTAGATAAATATATCCATTAGCATGCAGCTGATTATTAGGTTTCTGAGACAGCTGAATTTTCAACACATTTCTTTTTTTCTTTGTCCCAAGTGACACAATAACTTGACATGTGGCTAGCAAAACCAATTACATACATAAAACTATGAAATATGGCATGCTCCGTTACTATATTGTGGTCATTTTTAAAAGAAAGAAGGGGAAACAGGGAGGAAGATACAGAGGGGAGAAGAAAGAAACAGGAACAGCTTCAGTCACATAGTGACAGAGGTTCAGAAATTTTGAAGAACATTTAATTTAGGTCATCTTGTCACCTTTTAGATTTGCAATAAGCAGTCGGTTATTGCTTTTTAAGCAATCTTAACACTGGTAATATGTCAATATGACCCAAAGCAATCCACAAATTCAATACAATTCTTATTAAAATCCCAATGCCTTTTTTTGCAGAAAACAAAAATCCATCCTAAAATTCATAGGGAACCTCAAGGGACCCTGAACTAGCCAAAACAATCTTGAAAAAGAACAGTTGGAGGTCTCACACTTTCAGAATTCTTGGAATCTGCTGCCGCCCACTATAATATTGGGGGCCTAGCATGCCTGCCTCTCAGGATTGTTAGGGGAACAGGGAGCAGGGTACACTATGGAAACTGACCAGCACCTGACACAGAGTGTCACCAAGAGGTAGTGTGACCTTCTGGAGGCCTGGCCTGAATACCATGACCCACCTCTGCCTTGAGCAGGGTTGGATCTCAGCCTCTGGCCGCTGTCTCCCACTGCTGAGTACACAGCTAAGGACCTGGTAAAGAGTGAAGATTCTAAAGGACACTGACCTTCCAGGCCGTGAGGGACATCATAGTCCATGCTGGAGCGGCAGAGGCGGGGAGCACCCAAGTGCCCCTCACCATGGGACCCAGAGAAGTAACAGAAGAGGGGCCGGGAGGTTGTGACAGGCCTCCTGGCTGTGGTGGAAGGACGACCAGCAGAGAACTGGGGTATGAAGTTGACAGAAAGCCCCAGGGGCCTGTATTTGGCCTCGGGAGAGGTCCTTTGAGGGGAACCTGAGGGGCTGGGAAGAATCCGCAGCATTCCCTACCCTCCCCATGCCCCCAGCCCCCTATCCTGGCTCTCCAGCACTGCACCACCAGCTCAGGGCCAAGACTTCCATAATTACATGGTGTTAATGAGCATTTAGTCTGCATTCAGAGAAGAGTTAGGGGCCATGAGAATCACAACTTTTCAAGTATTTCAAAGGCCAAGGCATGGAAAAGCCTGTGTGAACTGATCAGAAGAGGGGCAGTTGGAGTGACAGGCAAGGTTGGCTGGGGTGGGGGCCCACCCTCATACCATTTTTAAAAGAGCAGCTGTTCCTCTTCCCCCACATCCTTCTCCCTCTCCTCCCCTTCCTTCTTAATATAATGGAGCATCTTAAGATCATACCTGACTTGAAGATTCCACAAATTTTAAAAAACATTAAAAACCACTGCTGTTTGATATCAACAGGGAGAGAATAACTTTAGTTCAAAATATTTGGAAATAAGAACTATTTAAGTGATCTAGAGACTACCAACAAGTATACACTATTTTTCTTCAACTAAACACAACATGAATTGTGAAAAATTTACACGTAGTACAAATAATAGAGGAAGTAGCTAGCATGCAGAAGACCAACAGAGGGGAAGATGGCAGAGGGAGGGCAGGAGTGGGGTCAGCAGCCTGGTCAGCACAGCCAGGTGAGGAGGTGACGGAGGCCTCCCTGCTCAGGGAGCCCCAGTTGGAATGCAGCACAGGACTCCATTGGAAGCTCTGCCATGTGGTATACAGGGCAAACCTTAAAAGAGTACAGCAGTCTGATGTAAGAGGTGATTAAGAAGTTAAAACCTATCCTGGCCGGGTGTGGTGGCTCACGCCTGTAATCCCAGCACTTTGGGAAGCTGACGCGGGTGGATGACGAGGTCAGGAGATCGAGACCATCCTGGCTAACACGGTGAAACCCCGTCTTTACTAAAAATACAAAAAATTAGCCAGGTGTGGTGGCGGGCGCCTGTAGTTCCAGCTACTCGGGAGGCTGAGGCACGAGAATGGCATGAACCCAGGAGGCGGAGCTTGCAGTGAGCCGAGATCGTGCCACTGCACTCCAGCCTGGGCGACAGAGCGAGACTCCGTCTCAAAAAAACAAACAAGCAAACAAACAAACACCTATCCAAACATAAACATCCATTATTTGTGACTCTGTCATCCAAAGTGCCCATTGCTATTTTTTGTGTAGCTTAAAATTTTGACTAAAAAAGATAACTTCATACCCCTTATCTGTCCCTAAGTAGGATTTTTAGGTCTGGTATTTGAGTAACATATGTTTCTACTTTGTGAATTAGTGATACGGTTTGGCTGTGTCCCCACCCAAATCTCATCTTGAATTGTAGTTCTCATAATTCCCACCGTGTCATGGGAGGGAACCTGTGGGAGGTAACTGAATCATGTGGGCAGATCTTTCTCATGCTGTTCTCATGATAGTGAATAAGTCTCACGAGAGCTGATGGTTTTATAAAGGGGAGTTTCCCTGCACAGGTTCTCTTGCATGCTGCCATGTAAGACGTGTCTTGATTCTCCTTCACCTTCTGCTATCATTGTGAGGCCTCCCCAGCCATGTGGAACTGTGAATCCATTAAGCCTTTTTTCTTTATAAATTACCCAGTCTTGGGTATATCTTTATTAGCAGCATGAGAACAGACTAATACAATTAGATTTTTGTTTGTTTGTTAACAACAACAAAGAAAGGCTGACATGCTTACAGGCCTGTTTTCAGGATACTTAAAAGTGAATTTTCAGTATTTTCAGGTTTTCAAAACTTAATGTAAAGGGAACAGCAAAGGTATTTAATTTTAACTCTGTAGAATGTCATTTTGTGTCCCCAAAGTTTTCTAATTTTATTGCTTTATAAAATTCAGGTTTTCAAAATAATCTCAGAGGAGCTAGTCTTCTACGTTACTGACTTTGGGAATGAAATAGTAAATAGCCTTTATTTGTAGCCCTATTTGAAAATAATTTAAAAGTGCTTTCTTAAAACCCTTATCTGCAATGATTATTGTACACATCATGACTGAAGTTTAAGTGTGGCTCACACATACATGCTTAGTTGAGCATGTTTACAAGTAACTTTGGGGTACAATTTGGAGGCCTTTTTAAAATGTGGGATCTTAGAGACCAAGTTAGGCACCAATGTAACTCTTGGGACTTTAAGGTTAAAACAAAACAGCCTATAACAGTAAAAACAATAGTTTTGTACTTTAGGAGCTACATGCACAAAGCAGGCAACATGGATCATCTCTGAAAAGAGGCAGCCTCACGATATATATCTCATAACAGAAACACTGCAAATGGATCATATTTTGTGAGTAATTAACAAGGTATCAAAATAATGTCATACAAGTGAAGAAAATCACACTTGCATCACAGTTGAGCTGACAGCTCTTGTCACTCACAGTGTGGGCCCATGGGACATTACCCCTTAACTCAGAGAGAGCTGAGCTCCCTGGCTAGTTAGCTGAGCAACTTGGGATTATATTAAGTGAGCAAATGGCCAGAAACCTTCCCAACTACCCTTCCCACGACTACAGAGTGGGGTTCTGGAGCTGGTGTTGAGATATAAATGCAGTCCCAGCTGTGTGCCAAGAATTCAAATCTCAAGGTCAAGAATGAGAGGTACTTGACAAATTCTTGCACTTCATATACTCCTCATCTTTGAATTAATTCATTTTTCCTACAAATCAACAGAATGTTCACAGGGGGAAATTATTCCATGCTGAATAAATACAGTCCATATGAATGAACTTTTCATTTAGTAGTAATTACGTTTTTTTAGTATGTCACTAACTATGAGTTATAAATTAAAACCTGTTTAGCCAGAGAGGATAATTTTACAGTTAATGTTTAAAACAGAATTGACTAACTGAATTTACTCCATGAAGAAGGCAGGTTTTGAAAGTTCTACCAGATGCAGATATAACTTTTTTTTTTTTTTTTTTTGAGAAGAGTCTGGCTCTGTCACCCAGGCTGGAGTGCAGTGGCACGATCTCATTCACTGCAAGCTCCGCCTCCACGGTTCACGCCATTCTCCTGCCTCAGCCTGCCGAGTAGCTGGAACTACAGGCGCCCGCCACCATGCCTGGCTAATTTTTTGCATTTTTAGTAGAGACGGGGTTTCACCATGTTAGCCAGGATGGTCTCGATCTCCTGACCTCATGATCCGCTCTCCTCGGCCTCCCAAAGAGCTGGGATTACAGGCGTGAGCCACGGCGCCGGGCCAGATTATCACTTTTTAATTTTTAAATCTGTAGCATTTATTTATTCACTGAAAGTAAATACCAAATGTACTAGGGCAAACTGTATGTAGAAATATTATTTTTCCAGGTGTGACCCTATGATTCTTCTCAGCCAAAATCTTTGTAAAATTATGGCACAGCTAGCATAACTGTGGTTGTAATACTTATTTGAATTAAATGTTTTTCTTGTCTAACCTCCATATTTCATTATGTCCTTCTGCACACATCTTCATCCATCTTTATGATTCAAACTTTTCTAGCAGAAATTACTTTTTATTTTCTCTGCAGAACATGTGGGGTTGGGTGGCTGATGAATAGTAACCTGGCAAATTCCTCTGCCTGGAAAAACATCATCCAACTGATGGGTGTGGGGTTGCAAAAGCGAGCTTGATAACTATTAGCTGAGCAACTTGGGATCATATTAAGGTAAAATTCATAAGGTGTATGTCTTCTAATAAAATACTATCATTTAAAAAATGCTATTTATTCCATTAGAGATGCAGTTTTTGTTTTTGTTTTTTTTTTTGAGACGCAGTCTCGCTCTGTCGCCCAGGCTGGAGTGCAGTGGCGCGATCTCTGCTCACTGCAAGCTCCACCTCCCGGGTTCACGCCATTCTCCTGCCTCAGCCTCCCCAGTAGCTGGGACTACAGGTGGCCGCCACCACGCCTGGCTAATTTTTTTTTTTTTGTATTTTTAGTAGAGACGGGGTTTCACCATGTTAGCCAGGATGAAGTTGATCTCCTGATCTCGTGATCCGCCAGCCTCAGCCGCATTACAGGTGTGAGCCACCGCGCCCGGCCAAGATGAAGTTTTCTAATCCTCATAGTAATTATGACTATTTCATTCCCTCTCGAAAGATAACAACAACAAAAAAGAGAACGGAATGCCTTTTTCCAGCTGTCTACATTTGCTTTCTTCAACTTTGAAAACAGGCAAGCTAAAGTGACCTAGGATGGCCCTTACCTGTCTGTGATGCCGCAGGAGTCTATCTGGAGGTCCCTGAAACTCCCCAGCGCCCCCTGCTGTACTAAGATGGGATCCACCGCTTTGTCACCAATGGTGATGAGCCTTAGGCAGCCCTGAAACCCTCCCAGGGGGCTTTTACATCCAGAGCCAGAGCTGTTGTCCAGGCAGCCTAAATATGAAGACAAAAATAGGACAAAAGCAACAACTATGACAAAACTATTCCACAGTATTTACTATATGAAGACTGCTGCTCCCGCTTGTTTATGGACATCGGTATGATGCGATGAGCTTCACCATTCATTAGAGAGGTGAGAAGGGGCAAGGTTAGAACTGATCAAATTTAAGATAATACCTGGAATTCAGAATAAGAAATTATGGGGGAAAATTCAGATCTAAAATTCCTATAACAGGAATTATTTCCCAACCAAGTGAAAAGAGGTTTGGCTTCTTTTGTGAAATCTCATCTAAGAAATAATCATGCATTTTAGCATTATGTAGTGTAAGTGAAAAAAATTAAAGTGGAGGTTAAATTAAAATAAATGAAATCATAGGCCAAATTTTATTTAGGATATGCTGTGAAATGTGAAAAATGCTACCTGAAAATATAATTGTGTACTACCATTTATCTAAAATATGTTAAATATCTACCCTATAGGTGTTTTTGTGTGTTGCGATGTATGTATATTTGGGAGTATTTAAAAACGTATTTTTTTATACTGACTGGGTGGAAATACCTAGATTTGCTTTTCTAGTAACACTTTCTTTGGTATTAGGTACTTTAGTCAAATATATAACTAAAGATTAAATTCTAATGTTAACAACAACACAAAAAGTAACAGGACCTAACACACTGTTAGGGTACATAAGGATAAAAATTTGCAGTCCAGAATGTTCTATGAATAGAAAGAGATAAAATAGACATTTGATTATTTCCAATATTAGAAGTTAAATATTAAAAGTTTCACTACAACCGTCAGCTAATTTCACCTAAATTACAAATGGCAATGCTTATGACATCACTTCCCTTTACTATGTGGGCTTGTTTTGTGAAACAAGAACAGTACTTATAAGAAGCAGTGGTGAGTGCCTGACTTTGACGTAAGCAGTATTACTCCACACCAGTCCAAGCATATAGGAAAGTAGTGTCTTGAACTTACTCCCACCCTCTGAGTTACAATATATAACCTAATAATGGAACTGTAAGTTTGAAAAGTAAGGAAAAGGATGAAAGTACACACTCTAGTTAAAGAAAACACAATAACTGTAAAATCTTTTTATTTAAAGACAACTGTTTGTAGAAAGAGTCATATTAATTCAGAATAAAATCATAAGGCATTTGTCTAAGTCAGGAGTCTGCAAAGGTTTTCTGTAAAACGCAGATAGTAAACACTTTTGGTTTTGTGGGTCACACCTGGTTTCTGTTGCATGTCCTTCTTGTTATAACCCTTTAAAAATACAAAGCAGGGCTGGGCGCGGTGGCTCATGCCTGTAAACCCAGCACTTTGGGAGGCCAAGGCGGGCGGATCATGACGTCAGGAGATCGAGACCATCCTGGCTAATTCGGTGAAACCCCGTCTCTACTAAAAATACAAAAAAAAATTAGCTGGGCGTGGTGGTGGGTGCCTGTAGTCCCAGTTACTCGGGAAACTGAGGCAGGAGAATGGCGTGAACCCAGCAGGCGGAGCTTGCAGTGAGCCGAGATGGCGCCACTGCACTCCAGCCTGGGCAACAGAGCGAGACTTCTTCTCAAATAAAAAAAAATAAATAAATAAAAATACAAAGCAATTATTCATTTCGGCTTATATAATATGCCATAGACCGTGATTTGTCTACCTCTGATCTAAATGAATACTTAATTTTAACATACAAATATGAAAGAGGCACCTCATTTCATAATGGTGTAATGCCAATGACAAGAGAAATTGAATAACTAAATTGTATATTATGAAATTATATAGCTTTTAAAAATTTTATCCTTTGCCTTATTTTAAAAAAGAAGCCTGCTTATATTGATTCTGTAAGTATTGTCTCTTTCAAACTTGTGAGATATAATTTCTTACTTTCTTTTCCCAATCATTCAAATATTAGGTATTAAACCTAATATTGGCATGACACTTTGAGTCCACGCAAATACCCTTTTCTCCAAAGATTATAGTAAATATACATCAATATTTATCACTAGAGGATTGAGTTTTCTTTACAGTGTTCACTAAAATGAAAAAAATGAAGTATAGAATTTGTACTTATGTGTTTTTCATTGACCTCTCTTTGACCTTATACTGTTAATCACTAGCACAATTTCAAAAAATAGTCAATGAAGATTCCTCTTACTGGAATAAATGAAGCACCCCTCAATGCCTGTACTCTTATTTCCTCCCTGAAAGTTCCATAAAAATTAAATGTTGTGTTTAGATTTCTATTTTAATAACTGAAGCTTTATCTCTTTAACTTTAATATTTTCTGCTTTAGATTTCTAAAGTAAAAGCCTCCCTCATATTTAAGGCTTCTTTTTAGCTTATCGAAACTATACATAACCTCACAGACACTTGGAAGTTTAACATTTAACACCATATTTGTTTAAAAGTTTGAAGACTAAAATCTTTTATATTTTTATATTTACAAAAGAAATATAAGTTTAAATGGTACAGCAGAACCTTCTGAAGAATGGGATAGAGAGTGAACTTTGTATAATTCTGCATCTCACTAATCATTAAGAAATAAACACATTAAGTTAAGAATTAAGAGGATTATTAATTCAATAAATATTTTCCAGTAATGAATTATAGGAATATCAACAGTTCTGCTAATCTTTCTTTCACCATGTGGTGTTTCCTGACACATAACTTAGGTTATCTTTTTTTTTTGAGACCTGAGTCTCGTGCTGTCGCCTAGGCTGCAGTGCAGTGGTGTGATCTCTGCTCACTGCAAGCTCCACCACCCAGGTTCACAGCATTCTCCTGCCTCAGCCTCCCGAGTGGCTGGGACTACAGGCACGCGCCACCACACCCTGCTAATTTTTTTTTTTTTGTATTTTTTTTCAGTAGAGACGGGGTTTCACCATATTAGCCAGGATGGTCTTGATCTCCTGACCTCGTGATCCACCTGCCTCGGCCTCCCAAAGTGCTGGGATTACAGGTGTAAGCCACAGCGCCCAGCCAGGTTATTCTTAAAAGAAAATGAATTCAATAACTCTGTTAGAAAAAAAAAACTAAAATCCAGGTGTCCCACAAAAAGTTATGAAACTTTCAGGACAAATTCTAATCATAAAGTACTGCATGGATATGAAATCAAACAAATAAAGATATTAAGACCCATGAAAATTTTAGCCCGGTTATTTTAACTTGTGTAAGCATATGAGGTTGGCAAGAAAATTGTCACTGTGTGTTATTGCAGTGACAGACTTCAATGCAATGTTGCCACAAGTTCTCAGTCTAGCAGCTTCCTACAAGAAGGATGTGAGGACTGGCGACACAACAGTCAATTTTGTATTCTCAATATCATGGAAGGAGGCATGGCATTGAATAGCAGAAAGATTCCATAAAGGTAAGTTTAAAAGAATTTGACCTTCAGTCAATCTCTATTTCAGGCATGAATGCAAAAAAATGCAGGCTATATGCACAACCTGCAACCGTACAGAGTGCTGCTTGAAAAACACTTCAAAAAGATGAAATCACAGACCAGAAAAAAAAGAATGGACAAATGACAGTACAGAAGGTAAGTCTGCATCTGCGAATTAGACTTTCTCTTTCTTTCTCTCTCTCTCTCTTTCTTGACAGAGTCTCACTCTGTTGCCAGGCTGGAGTGCAGTGGCACCATCTCGGTTCACTGCAACCTTTGCCTTCCAGGTTCAAGCAATTCTCCTGCCTCAGCCTACCCAGTAGCTGGGACTACAGGCTCCCGCCACCATGCCCAGCTAATCTTTGTATTTTTAGTAGAGACAAGGTTGCACCATGTTGGCCAGGCTGGTCTTGAATTACTAACCTCAGATGATCCACCCGCCTCAGCCTCTCAAAGTGCTGGGATTACAGGTGAGAGCCACCGCGTCTGGCCTAAACTTTCTATTAAAATAAATCTAGTGAGATCCAGAAATCCACATCCACCAGTGATTGTTCCAAGTCTCTCAAGGTTTCTTTGGTGCAAATAACATTTTCCATTTATCTGGCATCAGGAAATTGGTGGGTTTTTCTTCTTCTTCATTTCTTCATATTAACCTGGCTACCCATGGGTAGAGTCAGCAGGGCAACATTAAATAGAAAAAAAAAAAAGATGCCCCCATACGATGGCCTGAGAGTGGAGACCAGTGACTCAAAAGCAGAAGGCTGGTTCCAAAACATCAAACTTCTGCAGTCTCAGCTTCAGGTGAGGAAGGCAGCTCTCACTCAGGGAAAGAGCCAAAGTTAGAAACAGTGCAGCTCTTGCCAGTCATTGACCTAAGGCCAGGCGGCTCCTCAGATGACCTGCAAATTGGGGACACACCACGGCATGCAGCAGCTGGGCTGAAGGATCCTGCTCCCAGTGGATTTTTGCAGGGGACGTTCTGATTCCCTTAGCTGACGAATATGATCCTATGTTCCCTTATGATTATGAGAAAGTAGTGAAGTGCCAGAGAGAGGAACGACAGACACAGCAGGAGCTAGAAATATGAAAGGAAATAGAAGAAAGGGAAAAGAGGCCTGAAGACAGGCAAGAAGTTAGGGGAGTTCTGATCAAGGCGACCAAATCCAGATTCTGATGAAGGGGAAGATTAGGAGGGAGAGAGGAGGAAAAGTAGTAGGGTGGAGCTGCCATTGCCCTTCCCACTTCTCTGGTAGAGAAAGACCAAGAGTCACCCCGAGATTTTCCTTATGAAGAGGATTCAAGACCTCAGTCATGGTCTTCCAAAGCAGCCATTCCTCCCCCAGTGAAGGAGGAACAGGACAGACTGAGATCTCCAAACCGGCCTAGCAGCTCCTTCCTCGCTAACGTGGTGGGAACGGTGGCGCACAACATCATGCAGAAGCGCGGCTTCCGGGAAGGCCGGGGCCTCGGGGAGCACCTGCAGGGGCTGCGAGATGCCTTTCCGGTGGGGAAGACTAGCAGATCAGGCGGCAAGATCATCGTGGGCGACGCCGCAGAGAAAGATGCATTGAAGGATCAGGTACAAATCCACTGACTGAAATACTTGAGTCCTACTAAGGTGGTCCTACTAAGGAACATGGTTGGTGAAGGGGAGGTGGAAGAAGACTTGGAAGTTGAAACCAGAGAAGAATGTGTGATGACATATTTTTCAGTTGATATGGTTTCCTATGAGACATAGCATCATTAAGGATAAAATAAGTGAAACTGAAAAGAGTATAGTTAATCTAGTTTTCATAATGAGTTCATTCTGTTATGTTTCTTTTTCTTTTCCATTGTCAATTTATATTGGCTCAGAGAAAACAGGCTTGATGGATAAAGTCCATGGTATTTCCCAATTTTGCCATGAAAAATATGGCAAAGTTGGAAAACGTGTGATATGTGAAATTCTTGGTGTCCCTGATGATGAAGCAGTACAGACCTTTTTAGAATTTGAGAGTTGAGTCAGCAATTAAAGCTGTTGTTCACTTGAATAGAAGGTATTTTGGTGGACAGGTGGCAAGAGGATGTTTTTACATTTGTACAAATTCAGCATCTTGGATTTGGTGGAACAAGTTTGATTTTAAGAACTAGAGCATGAGTCATCTCTGGTGACCCTTAAATGACCAGCAGGCTGAGAAAAGAAGGAAAAAGGTCACAGCCTCCATGGCTGTTAGATACTGAGACTCTTGGAAGGACCTCCAAGGTATACGTTGATTGATCCCTTTTCATTTTGTGGTTTTTAAATATTGTATAAAAATCCAAATCCTTTTTAATAAATAAATAAAATGTGCAGCTGACTAGTTTCAATCATTGGTAGATATTATACTGTAGGAATGAAGTTAGTGTCTGCAGCTGTACATATTCAGGCCATTCTAAATATATAAGCTAGTTAGGAAGAAAATACTGTGGATTTTATCCATCAAGCCTGTTTTCTTCAGGCCAGTATAAAACAAATGGAAAGGAAAAAGAAACATAATGAAACGAACTCATTATTAAAACTGGATTACAGGATTAATTTTAATGTTTTCAGTTTCACTTATTTGACTCTTAGTGATGCTATGTGTCATAGGAAACCATATGAACAGAAATATCCCAAGAAGTAAATTTGCTTAGAAAACAGAAAAGGGCTTATTAGTCTCTTTCAGTGCACTGCACAGCATTCAAGAAGAATTTGGGTCATGTGGTCTTTAAATTACTAAAACGAGTAATGAATACTAGCGGAACCAAAGGCTGTTTCTATGTGAAGAAATGATCTATTTTGGGTTTACATACATCAGTAAAATTTAACAACCAGCTTATGCTGTTAAACATGGTGGTTAGAGCTGGTGTTTCCCGAAGTTTACTATACAGATGGGTAAATAAAGTTACAAAAGCACACACAAGGAATGCAAAATTCACTGGAAAAACTAGGTATGTTAAGAATATTTTAAAAACTAAATTTTAGGCTGGGCATGGTGGCTCATGCCTGTAATCCTGGCACTTTGGGAGGCTGAGGTGGGTGGATCACCTCAGACCAACCTGAACAACATGGCAAAACTCTGTCTCTACAAAATACGAAGAAAAACAACAACAACAAAAATTAGCTGGGTGTGGTGGTGCAGGCCTGCAGTCCCAGCTACTCCAGAGGCTGAGGTGGAAGAAGTGCTTGAGCTTGGAGAGGCAGAAGCTGCAGTGAGCTGTGATTGCTTCATTGCACTCCAGCCTGGGCAACAGAGTGACTCCCTGTCTAAAAAAAAGCAAAACAACGAAACACCACCCCCCTAAATTTTATAAAGCAAATCTAAAAGCAAAAATGAAAATTGCCTAACAATAGCAAAATGGGACAGTAGAACTGATAAAATGTGGTATATTCATGTAACAATATATACATTCTTTTGAAAAATTAGCAATATTTTTAACTGTACATATATGATCTATTTCACAGTAAAAATGAATAAAATTATGATATGCATAAAAATAACACAAAAACATTTCTCACATTAGCATGTATATATTTATGGAAATGGGCTCTTGAATAACAGGACGTTATAAAATCTCACCTGTAGAATTTAAACCCTAAAGGTGATACTATATTTATACTTTGACAAATCATTTTCTGTAATCAACTTTATTTAGTATCACTTAAAAAAATGAATAGTACTTTCATTCTTATCCCTTTTAGTGCTTCCTAAATATTTTACTTTTGAAATGATAGGTCTTGGATATATTGGCTTGTTTTTTGTTATAAAATCTGTCATCTATAGCAAATGTTTTAATACAATTTGAGGCACATATGCACACCTCGGAATATGAGGAAAGAAAACAATCAGAAACTTTGCAGATTGACATTGTCTGTTTTCACAGTTGCTCTGTGGAAAGTTTGCTCTGAAGGACTGTTAGAGTTTAGAAAATGAGTTTTATAATTTCCATGCTGACAGCCAATTTTAGGGATGAATTTTACTTTTTTTTTTGAGACGGAGTCTCACTTTGTCACCCAGGCTGGAGTGCAGTGGCGCAGTCTCAGCTCACTGTATAAGCTCTGCCTCCCAGGTTCATGCCATTCTCTTGCCTCAGCCTCCTGAGAAGCTGGGACTACAGGCGCCCACCACCATGCCCAGCTAATTTTTTTTTTTTTGTATTTTTAGTAGAGACGGGGTTTCACCATGTTAGCCACGATGGTCTCAATCTCTTGACCTTGTGATCCACCCGCCTAGGCCTCCCAAAGTGCTGGGATTACAGGCGTGAGCCACTGTGCCTGGCCGAATTTTACTTTCATATTGTGCTGTCTCCAACATAATTTTAAAAGGATTCTGGAAAAAAAAATAGTAAAATGCAAAACTATACTAATACTCTCAAGAAGCACCTCAAGCATTGATTAGCAAATGTATCTTATTATTTACAGAGTTAAATGACATTTCTAATGACCAAGGACTTTCTGAGTAAACATCCCTGGGGAGAAGATTTATTGCACCCTTCTGTGACCTCCCCACTCTGACTGCCCTCTCTTAGGCTGCAGTGTCTCTTGGCTGTACTCAATCATTGACTGAGCTGGCAAATATTCTGTTTATTATTGTCTAGGAAAGGCTGATGCGCTCCCTGACTTGGTAAAATGTTTCACTGCATCATTACTGGGCAATAAAAATAAGTTGAAATAACCGACTGAGTAAAACTATTAGGCACTTTGGGCAAAGCATGGCCTTTCTTCATGCCGCAGTGGGAAATCAATAAGATGCTCCAGAGGAGCCGAGTCTCTGGGGATACCTGTATGGTGCAATAAAACCAGCACATAAAGCAGTGGAAAAGGTAACGGCACTCATTTCGCACTGTTAAAATTCCGTTGGGCAGAATGATGAAGGGAAGCTCCATAAAGGGTGGTCTATTTAAAATCGGTTCCTGAGTGTGATCTTTTATTTAGGCCTATCTGGAAGACATGCATTTCAGTCCTTAATCTGTAGTCTTTTTTCAACAACCCCATGAAACAAAAGGGATCCAGCATGGTGATACTGTTTCATGGTGATACAACCCCATGAAACAAAAGGGATCCAGCATGATGATCCAGCATGGTGATACATAATGATACTGTGTTATTTACCTGGAATTTGGTAAGAGAGCAGATTTGTAATGACTTCACTCCCCTCTGCCATCAACATGGTAACTATGTGTGATGTGATGGATGTGTTAATCAACTTGACTGTGGTAATCAGAACGCAGTGAATACCTATATCAAATCGTCACATAGTATACCTTAAATATACAGAATTTTTATTTGTCAAATAAATATTTTAATTTTTTTAAAAAAGGGATTTATGGCAGTGTAGCAGCAGTGGGTGGTAAGGTCTGGGTCAGGTTCAGCCCCAGGTGGGAGGTGGCGTCAGGGAGGAACCCAGTAAACAGCTCTGGCCTTGCAGGTGTAACACTTTAGGCCTCTGTCTTCCTGAGGCGTTGTTCCTGCATGTTGTCCCAGCGTCTTCCCTCTCTGTGTGTCTCTGCACCTCCATTTCCATTTTTCATAAGGACACTGGTCATATTGGATTGGAGCTCACCTTAATGACCTCATTTTAACTTGATTACCTCTGCAAAGATCTTATCTCCAAACAAGGTCACATTCTGGAGTTCATATGAATTTGAGGGAAAACAATTCAATCCATAATATCATCTCTGAAATAAGGACAACTTTACTTATGCATATACAATTTGGGTTGTGGTTGCTGCGTATCTGTTTCAAATGGGTTATGGGCTCTTCTCACACTTTCAGGTCAAAGGGGACTTTGGAATCCATAGTGTACCTATGTATGCATGTATGATCATGGATCAGCCTTCCCATTTCTGTCGCTGTGTCCCTATATGGTTCATGATCATGTATGTTACTTCACTCGAAGGCCATACACAATCCAAACAAAATAAAACACAGAAACTGTGTTGGCTATTTTGACTTTCTGTTGAAACTATTCTCTTTGGTCATATATATATATTTTAAAAATATTATATATATATATATTTTTAAAAAACATTTTATATATATATATATTTTTTTTTCCAGTGATTATCCTGCCTCAGCCTCCCAAGTAGCTGGGATTACAGGCACCTGCCATCATGCCCGGCTAAATTTTTTTTGTGTGTGTATTTTTGTAGATACAGGGTTTCACCATGTTAGCCAGGCTCGTCTTCAACTCCTGATCTCAGGTGATCCGCCGGCCTCAGCCTCCCAGAGTGCTGGGATTACAGGCGTGGGCCACCACGCCTGGAGATAGATAGATAGATAGATAGATAGATAGATAGATAGATAGATATATGTAATCTTTTTCAGTATATTCTCAGGGTGTGTTTGAGGAAAGCTTTTTTTTTTTTTGGCCATTGTCCAAGGGTTTAGAACTGAATGGGAATGTCTGTAAATGGATCTGATGGAGGTTGGAATGTGTATCAGCTTTTAATCATCACTGTAACAAATCACTAAAATATTCTCTTTATTATCTCTCACTTTAGAAGTGTGGGAGGGCTGGACTGATGACTCTGCTTATAGTCCTACAAGGACAAAATCAAGGTGCTCTTGGGCTCCTTATGAAGGCCCTAGGGCAGAATGTGTGTCCAAGCACATACAGGTTAGAGCAGAATTCAACTTCTTGTAGTTGTAGGAGTGAGGTCCCAATTCATCACTGGCTGGTAGTTGGGGCCTCTCAGCAATGTCAGGCTGCCTGCATTGCTCTTCATAGTGCCCAGTTCATTTTCTAAACCAGCAATGGTGCAGAGAGACATTCTCCTGCTTCTAGTTTCTCTGGCTTCCCCTCACCCACACCTCTCTTCTGTGTCTCTTCTGCCTCCAACCAGAGTTAAATCTCTTAAGTGCTCATGTGATTACATGGAGCCCACTGCATGAATCACGATCGTCTCCTAAGGTCTGCAACCTTAATTACATCTGCAAAATCCCTTATGTGATGTAACATATTCAGTTTCCAGGGCATCTTGGAGAGTCATTCTCATTCTTGCTGCCACAAAATATTCCTCATTCCTTCATGAAATGTTGTTTGCTTTCATATATTTGTCTCTAGAGAAGCATCAGGTATTTTCTCAACATCCCTTCATGTTAAAAACCCTCAACAAATGAGGCATTGGAGGACATACTTCAACATAGTAAGAGCCACCTATGACAAACCCACAGCCAGCATCATACTGAATGGGCAAAAGATGTGAAGCATTCCCCTTGAAAACTGGGACAAGACAGGGATACCCTCTCTCATTATTCCTACCCAACATAGTACTGGATGTCCTCGCCCGAGCAATCAGGCAAGAGAGAGAAATAAAAGGCATCTAAATAGGAGAAAAAGAGGTCAAACTGTCTCTGTTTGCAGATGATATGATTCTGTACCTACAAAACCCCATCGTCTCTGCCCAAAAGCTTCTCGATCTGATAATCTCAGCAAAGTTTCAGGATACAAAATTAATGTACAAAAATTAGTAGCATTCCTATATACCAACAACATGCAGGCTGAGAGCCAAATCAAGAATGCAATCCTATTCGCAATGACCACAAAAAGAATAAACTACCTAGGAATACAGCTAACCAGGGAGGTGAATGATCTCTACAAGAAGAATTACAAAACACTGCTCAAAGAAATCATAGATGACATACAAATGGAAAAACATTCCATAATCACGGATAGGAATAATAAATATGGTTTTTAACCATATTGGACCATACTGCCCAAAGCAATTTATAGATTCAATGCTATTCCTATCAAATCACCAATGGCATTCTTCAAAGAACCAGTAAAAACTATTTTAAAATTAATATAGAACCAAAAAAGAGCCTGAATAGCCAAGGGAATCCAAGGCAAAAAGAACAAATCTGGAGGCATTTCGTTAGCCAACTTCAACCTCTACTACAAGGCTATAGTAACCAAAATAGCATAGTACTGGTACAAAAACAGACACACAGACCAATGGAACAGAATAGAGCGCCCAGAAATAATGTCACACACTTAAAACCATTTGATCTTCAACAAAGTCGACAAAAACATGCAGTAGGGAAAGGACTCCCTATTCAATAAATGGTGCTGGGATAACTGGCTAACCATAAGCAGTTCCTAGACCCCTTCCTTACACCATATACAAAAATCAACTCAAGATGGATTAAAGAATAAAATGTAAAACGTGTCAGGTGCAGTGGCTCACGCCTATAATCCCAACACTTTGGGAGGGTGAGGTGGGAGGATAGCTTGAGCCTTGGAGTTTGAGACAAGCCTGGGCAACATAGCGAGACCTCGTCTCTACAAACAATAATAATAATAATAATAATAATAATAATAATAATAATAAATTAGCTGGATGTGGTGGCACGTGCCTGTAGTCCAGGCTAATCAGGAGGCTGAGGTGGGGGAACCTCTTAAAGCCTGGGAGGTTGAGGCTGTATCGTGTCATTGCACTCCAGCCTGGGCAACAGGTGAGACTGACTCTAAAGTCTCAAAAAAAAAAAAAAAAAAGTAAAGCCTATAACTACAAAAATCCTGGAAGATAACCTAGGAAATATAGGAAATGCCATTTTGGACACAGGACATGGCAAAAATTTCATGACAACGACACCGAAAACATTGCAACAAAAACAAAAGTTGACAAATGGGACCTAATTAAACTAAAGGTTTCTGCACAGCAAAAGAAACTATCCACAGAGTAAACAGACAACCTACTGGAAGAAAATATTCACAAATTATGCATCTGACAAAGGTCTAATGTCTGGAATCTATAAGGAACTTAACAAGAAAGAAAAAAAACGTACCCCATTAAAAAACGGGCAAAGGACATGAACAGACACTTTTCAAAAGAAGACATACATGTGGCCAACAAGCATATGAAAAACTCCTCGGCATCACTAGTCATGAGATAAATGCAAATCGAAACCACAATGAGATACCATCTCACGCCAGTCAGAATTGCTATTATTTAAAAGGCGAAAAATAACAGGTGCTGGTAAAGCTGTGGAGAAAAGGGAGTGCTTATACACTGCTGGGGGAATTATACATTAGTTCAGCCATTGCAGCAAGCAGTTTCGTGATTTCTCAAAGAACTTAAAGCAGAGCTGCCACTCAACCCAGCAACCCCATTGAGTACACACCCAAAGGAATAATAATCCTTCTACCATAAAGACACACAGACGTGCATGTTCATTCACAATAGCAATGACATAGAATCAACCTAAATACCCATCAACAGTAGCGTAAAGAAAATGTACATATATACCATGGAATACTATGTAGTCATAAAAAAAGATGAGATAATGTCATTTCTAGCAACATGGATGGAGCTGGAGGCCATTATCCAAAGTGAACTAACACAGGAACAGAAAACCAAATACCATGTATTCTGACTTAGGAGTGGGAGCTTAGTATTGAGTACCCATGACACAAAGAAGGGAACAATAGACACCACAGCCTACTTGAGGGTGGAGGGTAGGAGGAGGGTGAAGATCGAAAAACTACCTACTAGGTACTATGCTCATTACCTGGGTGATGGAATAATCTGTACCCCAAGCCCCCATTACATGCAATTTACCTATATAACAAACCTGCACATGTATACCTCTGAACCTAAAATAAGTTTAAAAAAAAAAGAGAAGCAACACGTATTTTCTGAAGGAAATGGGAATTATATATGAATATACATTGTCAAAGACTATAATGTTTGAGATTTTCTATTGCTTATTTCATTAGTTTCTTTCTGGACCTATTCCATCTGGGCTAGCAGCTCTGAAAACAAAGTAGTGTGGATCAAACTCTGTCATCTGTTTCTGTCACACAGATTACAGCCCTCATCCTGAAGGAGGGACAGATTTCAGTCCCATCCTAATAAAAAAAAAATCTCTGTTCTGTTTACTGTTTTTTTCTACTTGGTTTGGAAAAATTTTGTTAGAGGCAATTGTCGATACCACATATGGCTGACAGCAGGTATAGGAGGTATCCTGGTACTCATACTTGGAAACCCTTAATTTGGCATCATCCTCAGCACATGAAATTTCTCAGATCACTAACAATCTTGGACCGATGATGATTCCTTAAGCCAACTTCGCTCTTCTGAAAAGGTTGGCAGGCATGTCTGCATTTTTCTGAGGACTCCTATGTTATCATCCACTCAAGATACACGAAGGCATTAACTAATTTTAAAAATCTTGGCCTGGCACAGTGGCTCATGTCTGTAATCCCAGAACTTTGGGAGGCCGAGGCAGTCAAATCACAAGGTCAGGAGATCGAGACCATCCTGGCAAACATGGTGAAAACCCCGTCTCTACTAAAAATACAAAAAATTAGCTAGATGTGATGGTGGGTGCCTGTAGTCCCAGCTACTCAGGAGGCTGAGGCAGGAGAATGGCGTGAACCGGGGGGGCAGAGCTTGCAGTGAGCCGAGATCGCGCCACTGCACTCCAGGCTGGGGGACACAGCGAGACTCCGCCTCAAAAAATAAAAATAAATAAATAAATAAAAATCTTAAGCTCTTCAGTTTTACTTTGTGTCTGCTTAGAGGAAAAAAGCATCCAACTACAGATATAAATGTATCCATTAATAAAAGGTAAATGGAGGCACAAAAGTTTATTTGAGCTAACAGTGATTCATGAATCACTGTTGAAGCAGCTTCAAATGGGAACTGGTTCAGGGACCCTTTCAAGGGAACAAAAAGGGACAGCTTCTGTAAGGTAAATATAGTAGCAAATTTTTCACTGGTTGTACTTATACAATTGCCTTATTTGGTTGATCCTGCTGGAAAGTCTCTAGTTATATAAGTTAATTGGCTTCTGATTGGTTAGCCTTAAGTTTGACTTTTTTTATTTTTAAAGACATTTACAAGAAATAGCTCAAGTTTTGCTTATATTGGTAAATCAAGCAAAGTTAACGCCACTTAAAAGGCTTTGTCTGGTCAGAGATACCTCAGGCCATTTTAATTTTCTTTAACAATTTAAATACACCTGTGTGCCAGAGGACAGCTCAGTGAAGTCTTTGAATGTCTGTGGCTGTATATTTGGAAAAGTATATATTCTTTGCGAAATACCACAAATACTGATGAGGTAAAATGCAATGTACAGGACTGCATGTATATAACAAGTCTCTATTACTAGATCTATACTTCTGTTTACATACAATTTTTATTACTAAGAAAGGCTGAATATATTTACCTTTCCAGTAAGAATTACAAGTAATTAAGTTACCTCAGTAACACTTCAGTGTTTAGGTACAGTGCAAGTGGCTCTCTGTATCTGTGTCCAGCATGGAATTTCATACGTAGTTGAAAACTTTCTTACTCGAGAGTGAGTTTTCTTATCATATATGTGGTGATATGGGATGATAACAGAATGTTGTAATGTACAGGCATCCATGCCCCCAAGTGATAAGTTTTCTCACATGATTGTTTCTCTTAACTGTGGTTTCCAGATATAAAAGCTTAATCTTTGGATTCACAGGAGCATTCTAGAATACATAGCAGGGTTTTGCTGTTATTCCTAGTGGTTCTTTTAATTTAAAAAAATCCAAACTTCCTTTATAATCAAAAGATCCACTTGTTTCCATTTCTTTAGCTGTATGAGTTCTCATAGTCAGTTTGGGCTGCTATTAACAGAATCCCATGAACAGAGTGGCTTACACAACAAACAGTTATTTCTCTCAGTCTGGATGCTGGAAAGTCTAAGTCTGAGTTTGAGGCAAAGCAGATGCAGTGTCTGCTTCACAGACCACAGTGTTCGCCTTATAACTTCACATGGCAGGAAAGGCAAGGGAGTTCTCTTGGGCCTCTTTTATAAGGGCACTAATTCCATTCATTAGGGCTCCACCCTCCTGACTTAATTACCCTCCAAAGCCTCCTGACACCATGACTTTGGGGTCAGGATTTCAACATATGAATCTGGGGTGGGGAAGCAAACATTCAATACTTTGCACCAGTGTAACACCAATTATACTGGATTCATTTAATATGTTTGTCTCCTATTAATTAATATTTGTTTACATTGTCAATGTTTTGAAAGTACTTCATAATCAGTATATTTCCTATTACGCCTTCTCCATGTAAAAAATATTTATCCATCTATCTATAAACTGAGCTGTGTACTAATAATGATTCAATAGTATAGATTTAGATGTAGACTTAAATATATAAGTAATATTTTATGTAAGCCAATGACTTCAGACAGTACGATTTGTTTTGTTTTTATGAGCTAACTGTTAGAAGTATAAATGGATTTATCTGTTGTAGAGATATGACTATGATATTGTTTGAAAGTTTCCACTTATTTACTACATGTAGCTCAAATATATTTTTCTTTTAATGTTAAATGAAAATATGAAGTTATTTAAACAGCAAGTAAACTTTCTGCAGATACTTATTTTTGTATTGGGAAGAAAAACTGATTAAATGTTTCATGTTTTTTATAAACTCAAAAGGTATTAATTTCATGGCTAGAGATAAATTATTTCTTAGTATCAACTTGGTTTAAATTTGACTAGAGACTCAAAATGCAAAGCAATAAAGATAAAAAGTGGTTCCACTGCCAGTGTCATTCAGTTGCCTTCTCTTACCTCCAAAATAATAGGTGTCACCTGAATCAATGAGCACAGCCACCAGGGGCTGAACAGCTGTGTCATCGTCCACCACCACATTCATATGGCTCCACTTGGCAGAGAAGGACACAGAGTGCCACTGCCCATCGTTTAATCCAGCACCTGGAGGAAATACAATCAGTCAGAGACAACTCTAAATTATGAGCTCTGTAAACACTTGAAAACAATTTGATTCAGATCACTGAATAAGTCAGAGAAGAGTGGTATTTACATGTTCATGTATCACTGAAAAAAAAATTAACCACCTATCTTTAATTTAAAAATTTCATTTATTACGAAAATAACACATGAATAAAAATATTACTCTTTCTGAAGAATCACTGTAACAAATTCTGGTAATTTGCTTAAAGTAACTAGAATTTAATTATCAAATATATACAGTAGGAGCCTTTACAATGGGATAAAAACAACACAGTTTGGTTTAATCTTCAAATGCAAAACTTACTTGCTTTACTGAATCTAACAAAAACATTTTACAAGAATCAAGAAAGTGAGTTGATAAAAAATACGTCAAGAATGATTGTGAAAAGTTTTTTTTAGAAAAAGTTGACACATAATTGCACATACTTATGGGGTGTGACAGGATTTGAAATGGAAGATCACTGGATGTCTGGCTTACTGCACCTATTAATTAAGGTAAACCCTGCTTTCACTGTCTGAGCTATTTTACAGCCCTGTAAATTGTAGAAAACTGATAGTAATGCAAAATGACTTGTACCCATAGAAATACAAATGACTAGTGCCTGGCGAGGTGCAGTTGCTTACTGAACCATTTCATATCTGTCTGTAATTCATTTTGGCATTTCTTATCTGCCTGTATGTGTAGTACTTTGAATTATCCTCCGAACTGATTGTAACATCTTACTGGTTTCTTCATAGATTAGTTAAAATCTTTAACATATATTCGTGTGTTTCTGAATTAACAAATTATGATTATAGATATAATTATACTGTCTTTTAAAAGTTATTATTCGCTGGGCATGGTGGCTCATGCCTGTAATCCCAGCAGTTTGGGATGCTGAGGCGGGCAGATCACCTGAGGTCGGGAGTTCAAGACCAGCCTGGCTAACATGGTGAAACCACATTTCTACTAAAAAACAAAAAATTAGCTGGGCATGGTGGCACTAGCCTATAGTCCCAGTCACTTCGGAGGCTGAGGCACAAGAATCACTTGAACCTGGGAGGTGGAGGTTGCAGTGTGCTGAGATCACACCACTGTACTCCAGTGTGGGTGACAGAGTGAGACACTGTCTCAAAAAGATAAAATAAAATAAAATAAAGCTATTATTTAATATTTGATAAAAAATGCTTAGGAAAGAACTGGAGTTGTACTTTATATATGTGCAATATTTTTATATATTTACACTCACATCCACATTATTTTATGATTCTTAGTAGTAATTATGAAATTAATCCTGTCAAATAATTTGGTAACAAAATGAATTGTCTTTGATGGTAAAGTTAAATGTTAAGGTATTTAAAATCACTAGAGGTATTCTGTGCTTTCTTTTACCTGATAATATGTCAAAGATACATGCCAATAAATGGGCTAAAAATAAGATTAGCTTCATGAGGCCTATTAAATTAACTTTGCACTGAAGTTTAAAATTAGGCCAAGATTGAAACTATTTCAGAAGTTACATATATCATAATAAACTTTAGACTAATAGAAATTTTCCTATAAAGTTAACATTTTACTTGATAGTCCTGGGAAACCTGTAAATTATTAAAATGACTCTATGCTTCATTTATTTTTCTTCCTAACATGCATTTATGTGAAGTTAGTATATTATTACCATTTCAAATGTAGTACTTCTTAAAAATTAAACATTAACATTAATATTTTAGCTTTCCCTTTTAACCTTCAGTGATGTATGAAACAGAAACAGAAGTAGTAATAAAGTGTAAGGAAATAAATTATTCTTTAAAATCAACCAAGATTCTGGATGTCTTCAATGTAAAACTAGGCATTGTCTAAACACAATCTGGAGGATTATATGATTCTGCAGGTTTCTGTGCCTTTTACCTTGAGTTTTTTTTTGTTTTTGTTTTTTTTTTTTGAGATGGAGTCTCGCTCTGTCACCCAGGCTGGAGTGCAGTGGTGCCATCTCGGTTCACTGCAAGCTCCGCCTTCCGGGTTCAAGCCATTCTCCTGCCTCAGCCTCCTGAGTAGCTAGGACTACAGGCACCCGCCACCACGCCTGGCTAATTTTTTTGTATTTTTAGTAGAGATGGGGTTTCACCGTGTTAGCCAGGATGGTCTCAATCTCCTGACCTCGTGATCTGCATGCCTTGGCCTCCCAAACTGCTGGGATTACAGGCGTGAGCCACCACACCTGGCCCCTTCTTTGAATTCTTTTACCACCCTGTGAATTGTAGAAAATTGAAAGCAGGCAAATGATTATTGTCCATAGACATGCAAATGAATTTTGTCTGGCAGGAATACAATTGAACTTCTTCCTGGTTCCTCTACCCCATCCCATGGAATAAGCCAGTTTTACATTATACACAAAATCATTGCAGCAGTAACATCTTACTGATTCTCTCATAAACTAATGAGTTAAACAAAATCTTTGACATGTTCTTTTTATAACTGCAAAAAGTGCCCTCTTTAAGAATATCTTTTGACAAATAAAAGCAGATCTTTGTATAACTGTTTTCATGTCTATCATCCACATTTGTTTTATTTTTGTTTTCTATTAGGTTGTATTTGGCCTTTGGCCATAGTTTATGCACAAGAAAATCAGATACAGTAGAATCTATAAATATTTCAATGAGAAGTTACTAAATTAATTGCCCACAACATAGATGTTATTTTAAACACATTTGATATGAAGATGATCTCTTGTTAACAACTACAACATTTTAACTGCAGAGGCAAAATATCACACTCACAAAGCCATGAGCTAAAGCAAAATCCTGATGAGATTTAAGAACTTTAATTATATTTAATTCTAGTTATTGTGCAACCCAGAACTGGATGAAGTGCTTGTTCAGCACTTCATTGAATCCAGAATATATGCAACTCATCAGCAGTAAAACTGAACCAACTACTATAGGAAAAAAATTGAGGGCAGTCTTTGCAATGGGCAAAGGAGATTACTGGGTATCTTTTCAATGGAAAGATTAGCTGATATTACGGGATTGTAAACCATCATCTTGGACTAGGTTACTTTACAGCTGTGTAGTGACAGAAGTTAACTTGCAGAACATTGATAATAATGCAAATAATGCTTGTCCATAGAGATGCAAAGTGTGTACAGGGAAGGGATTTGCCTTTCCCTTTGGATATTGACAAGTTTAGCTAGTCGGCATCTCTTTTCTGACTATAAATGTGTGGTACTTCTTTAAACAGGCCTTACTGGTGTAAGGGTAAACACAAACCAAAACAAACAAAAGCTTTCTTAGTGCTAAAAGGGATACACACTTTCATTCACTTTTTTTCCTTAGAGCATTTCTTTCAGAAAACTTGTAATTGTACATCTTTAAAATCTTAAAACAAAATCTTATTTAGCCTCTTTCTTGTTTCCAGGAGTGTTTTTCTTGAGGACCTTGGAGACATTTCTTTGAAATGTAAACACCAAGAAAGGCAGTGCTCCTATCTCCTTGTCTCCGTGGGAGTTTAACGTAGGTGCCTGGCTCCAAGTTGCAACTACCCACTTGTCAAAGAGACATGGAGTTTAGTTTTCCTTTGCATAAAGGAGTGTGCCTCCCCAATCACCAGGTGAATGTAAGATGGGCTGTGTAGCAAACGGCGCTGTCAAGTCCTCTTACTTGAGGACAAGCTGTCCTTTATCTTTAGAACATGTATGTAATGGGTTGTATCTGCCTGGCTATATAAATGGATGAAATTTCTTTATCTTTGCAATCACATTAGCGATTGCCTGAAATGTACATCACAGTCTGGCTTAATACTTATTCCATAATAAGATTATTTCATTTCTACCTTGTGAAACTGATTCACTATGTTGGTGGGCCATTTTATCTTTA
The DNA here is from genome assembly GCF_000001405.40 of Homo sapiens. Taxonomy (NCBI): domain Eukaryota; kingdom Metazoa; phylum Chordata; class Mammalia; order Primates; family Hominidae; genus Homo; species Homo sapiens. Next base: position 39,169,965 of record NC_000009.12, read on the forward strand.
CTTATTTCCCTAACACTGGTTCTCTCATCAATGAGTTAAAGAAAATCTCTGACATGTGTTCATTCTGTATCTGTGTGTAGGTCACGATTTTAACCTTTCTTGGAAAAAATCTTATTCGTGAGGAAATGGAAACTAGGTTTGCATTTCTAAAAGATAAAAAATATACGTCCCCTCTGAATATCTGTTTTATCTCCCCTGAAACACCTGTGTGAGGTGGACATAGATTCTAACACCCAGGACTTGCCTGATTGTTCCAGAAGTACTGAGATAAGGCCCCGCCCTCTGAATTTCTTCACGGGTCTTGAAATCGTGCTTTTATACCACAACATTTAATAGCAGTATAGTCACGTGTGCCTCTTACAGCCAAAAGGAATCTTTTTTTGAGTATGATTACCCCCTGGTCTCAAGCAGAAGTCAGCCTCTTCGTCTGTGCCTTTTTCTTTTTCAGATTACGCTTTTTTTTTTTTTTTAAAGCCCCCATTTAGTTCCGATGCCAATTTAGGCACAATGTCAATTTAGGACCCAGTGCTCCTCCCATCTGCAAATCCAAAATCATCAAAATCCAGCAGCTCTGTAGTTAACAAACTTGCCCACATCTGACTGCATGTGAGATTAGTTCCCATCTATTGTAACTCAGTCTGGCTTCATGGGATTTGAGCCCCTAACCTAGCATTTGCCCAACAAAAACAGGCCCTGATGGGGAGTGGGGATGTGAGGGCCTGTGTGTGGGGTGGGCATTGTGCTAATAAAATCAGACTTCCTATTGTTCTCCCTGCAAAGGAGATCTGAGGTTTACCACTTCACAAGTGAAAACAGCTGAGGCTTAGGAGGCTTCGTGATTTACATTTCAGAAGGGCAGTAAGTGGAGGAGCTGAGATTCTTCCAGGGTGCCCAGCTATCCCAGAAAACGAATCAGCCATCAACGAAAGAATAAGAACTCTTGGTATTTGCCGGGCATCTTTCCCTGTAAAGTGATAGTTATCAATTGCCTACTGTGTATAGAATATTTGTGCACAGACCCTGAGCGGCGGGGCGGAGAAGGGAAAGGAGGAGGAGGACAGGAGAGGAATGTGCCTCTAGGTATTGTCTGTTCCATGAGGTCCTGACCCTAGTTCTTTGGGATGGAGGCTGGTATATGTTTGTCAGGAAATGGAGCTCAAGGATATTCCTTGTATATGGGAAGGTATGTCTGCAGAAATATGCATTTCATATTTCTCATACATAGTCATTTTGGTCAAAAGAACACTTTAGTGGCAGCGGGGTGTACCACACAGAACAGTCTAAAAGGAAACAGCAATCTGTTCCTCTAGTGGGGGCATGGAGCATCTCACTGCCTCACTCACTCACTAATTACCAAATGATTTCCGTGTGGATATGTCAGGTTTATGGGAATACAACTGTTACCTGCTGTGACATTCCTTGGTGACTGTCCCGGCTGGAAGAGACTCAGTTTGAGCTTGCCATCCTTAAGAAAGAGGACGAAACTCCCTGAACCACGTCGAAGTTCGCCGAAAAGCAAATGTCCTGCTCTGTTCCACGTTCGAAATTGAAAAGTGACAGACACTTTGTCCTCCCCAGAGTTGCCTGGCAGAGCCAGATAACTCCTGGAGCTCAGAAAAGTCACAGGGACAGTCTGTGGCTGTGGACATGAGAAGGACACATTTCCCTATAAATAAAACAAAAGAGCACATTGAGCAGCCTTACAGGTGGTGCTTCTATCTAATTAAAGCCAGATTTTACGAAGACGTACAAGGCTTTTTATCAATCCAGGATTAGTCTGCCTGCTAAAGCTGAAATCTATAACATTTATCTTCTCTTTCAACATAAGTATTATTATAATTGGGCACACATCCATGTGGCTTTCTGTGTGTGTGTGAGAAATTCTCCACTTCTCTACTTCTCAGCATTAGTAAAGGAGTCTCAATATAATTTTAGTTCAACAGGAGTTTAATCTATGCCAGCTATTTTCCAGGCCCTGTGCTAGCCCTGAGGATACAGCAAATAACAGGACATTTTCATACTCAGTCTTTCTCCTGAGCAACATTTGGTCTTCTCTACACAATCCTCAAAATCTCTTTTGAACCAGCTTACTATTTTACTGGTTCCCTCATTAATGAATTGACTAAATCTTTGACACATGCTTATTTGATATTTGTATGGGTCATATTTTTAGCTGTTGGAAAGTTATATTTGACAGCCTTTCAAATGGTTTTCAGATCTAATAGTTATATGCAATGTTTGCATATAGTATTTTTAGCATGAAAACATTGATGTTTTTATATAGTCAATTATGTCTATATTGTATTTTACAGCTTCTGAGTTTCCAATCTTTGTTAAGAAAGTTTCATACTACCCTAGGTCCTACATACAATCTCATAGATTTTCTTTAAGATTGTTGTTTGTTTCTCATCCTCTTTAATTTACATATTCTTAGTGTGTATAAGATAGTGATCATGCTTATTTTCTGCCTTATGGACACTTGTTTGTTCCGGCAGAATTTCAGAAATAATTCATCCCTGTTCCACTGAATTGAGCCACATTCCTTGTTACTAACAACTTTGCACATAAACTGGGATCTTTCTGAGATCTTGACTGTTCTACTGACTTCTCTGTTCCTATCCACTACCATACTGATTCTAGTATAGAAGCTTTTAGTATGCTTTAATATCTGGTAAGTCAACATCTTACTAGGTTTTTAAATGGTTTTTGTTTGTTTGTTTGTTTTGCTTTGTTTGGCTGGTGAAAGGAATAAGCAATTCTTGGGCATTATTCACACATAGGAATTTCAGTTCCAGAGAAAAACCCCAGTAATTCTGATTTTACTTGGAATTTCCATGGATTTATTTCTAATATACTATAAATGATTTTAGAAAAAGAATGTTACTGGAGCAGGACAGATAATCTAGGGTAGTGGCTCTCAAACCTAGCTAAACAGTCGAATCACCAGAAGGGCTCTTAAAATCCAGATACAGACCAATTAAAATCCCGATCTCTGGAGGTAGAGCCAGGTAATGGTATCTTTTGAATCTCCTCTGGTGACTCCAAGATAAAGCCAAGTTTAAGAACCACACTGATCCAGTGGTAAAACAATTTTCAAAACAGAATCACATTTTTAAAAAATTCTGTCCCAACATACTTTAGAAATGGATATAATTCAGTTATCATTTTATAATAATCTTTAATACACATTCTAACTGTATACATCAATCAGAACATTTCTTCTTGACTGTTTTTGTAATTCTGCCAAATGGGAAACAGTTTTCATGACAAGAAAACATTTGCAGAAGAAAATTTAAAAAAGAAAACATTTGCTGTAACAAACTAAATACCAAAAGCTTACAAGTAATTGGCACTGATCCATAGTACACATGTAATCACTGGACTATTACATATTTTTTATCTTTTTATCAGCTGTATATTTCTTGACCTCATCATTTAGGTGGGTAGCTGCCTGCTACAACAGAGAGGCAGGGCTTCTTGCCACAGAGGAGTGCTTGTTAGTTGACTGAATGAATTCTGGCAACTGATTTTCCCAACAAAATACATTTTTAAATGTTTTCCTTTTATATATTGGAACAACTATTTTCCTGTTTTTATACAGAACACATAGAATTGTAGTAATTCTTAAAATGGAATTCCCATAATTAACATTATATATCCATATGCACAATTTGGAATGAATTGTCTTTTTGTTTTTGTGTGAAACTTACACATTTTAATAACCTCATTCAATGTAATTAGTAAATAGTTTTCTTGAGGATGATATCCAGAACCCAGAGATACCAGCTTAATTGTGGTTCTCCTTATTGGCTATACTCAATAATTCCATCAGTGAACCCATCAGTAATTCAGAATAACATGGAATGTATATGAAAACCTGTGTCTGTTGTCCTCAAATAGTCTTGTCTCTTTGTGTCATAAGGCCCAACTCACTCTTCCTCACTTCAATGACAGTGTCTTTGTAAATAGCCCCATAGAAGTTAGGGTGAGGAGGAGGGATTCTTCTGAACACCAAGGACTGGCAGATAAAAGGTAGCTTAATATTCAGAACGTGTTAGGTCAGGCTTCTTGACACGGATGCCCATTGGCCAAACCCATCTTTGTATCTGTATCTGAGTAACGCATCTCCAACAAAGCCAACTTCAATAACCAGGTCTTTTTTCTTTTTCCTGTTGAGCAGCACTTAAATGTCAGTTTCTCCATGGACAGAAACTTTAGGTAGAGGGCTGTTCCATTTATCTCCTTCCTCTTTTCATTTCTTTTTCATCTTGTCAAAGGAAACTGCACTCTGTGGAGCCTTGTTATCACTCTTCCCTTTGGTGTTTCCTTTTTCATGTATCTTGATGGTATTTTTCATTTTTATGATCTCAGCAGGGTGCTGTTCATAGTAAAACTTAGACTTCAAACCCATCTTTTTTTTTTTTTTTCTCCTTTACCTTCTTGGAAAGTTCATGGGCTTCACAGCTGTTTTTCCCTTTTTCTCATGCTAACCTAAGTGATGTATTCATTGTGTGGTCTGGTGACACACAGTCAGAGATATTTTCAGGTTTTGGTCCTGCAACCCATGAGCCAACTCCTCCAGCACATAACAGGAAAGAAAACATGTTCCCAACAATACAAATAAATATTCCCATGATGTGCTGCTGAGATACACTGACAACTAAACATGAGCTTTCCCTTTAACCCCAACTTGGATATTTCAAACTTTAAACATTGAAAGAAGTTTATTAACTGATTTGGAAGTATTTCCAGTTGATTAGGGAATAGATCATTAGGGATTGCCATTGCAAAATGATTGGTCTCCTGTGGATAACAACACCAAAAACACGTGAGACATATGAATTCTGATTTCCATGTAAAAATAGAAAGTTATTTTATTTCATATAAAAATGAAACAACGATGTCCCATGAGGCATATTTACTTTATAACTTTTTATGCATAATAAAAATTACTATATTAGGCTGGGTCAAGGTGGCTCGTGCCTGTAATCCTAGCATTTTGGGAGGCCGAGGCAAGTGTATCGTCTGAGGTCAGGAGTTTGAGACCAGCCTGGCCAATGTGGCAAAACCCTGTCTGTACTAAAAAAAATTAGCCGGGTGTGGTGGCACACACCTGTAGTCCCAGCTACTCGGAAGGCTGAGGCAGGAGAATGGCTTGAACCCAGGAGGCGGAGGTTGCAGTGAGCCAAGACTGTACCGCTGCACTCCAGCCTGGGCAACAGAGCAAGACTGCATCTCAAAACAAAAACAAAAACAAAAACAAAAAAAGTGCGCCTGTGGTCCTAGCACTTTGGGAGGCCGAGGTGGGCAGATCACGAGGTTGGGAGATCGAGACCATCCTGGCTAACATGGTGAAACCCCGTCTCTACCAAAAATATAAAAAATTAGCCGGGCATGGTGGTGGGAACCTGTAGTCCCAGGTACTCGGGAGGCTGAGGCGGGAGAATGGCGTGAACCCAGGAGGCAGAGCTTCACTGCACTCCAGTCTGGGCGACAGAGTGAGACTCCGTCTCAAAAAAAAAAAAAAAAAAATTGGCCCAGGCCCAGTGGCTCACACCTGTAATCCCAGCACTTTGGGAGGCCGAGGCAGGCAGATCACCTGAGGTCAGGAATTCGAGACTAGCCTGGCCAACATGGCGAAACCCCGTCTCTACTAAAAGTACAAAAATTAGCTGGGCATGGTGGCGGGCGCCTGTAATCCCAGCTACTCAGGAGGCTGAGGCAGGAGAATTGCTTGAACCTGGGAGGCGTAAGCTGCAGTGAGCTGAGATTGCGCCGCTGCACTCCAACCTGGGAGACAAGAGGGAGACTCTGTCTTAAAAATAAATAAATAAATAAAACTAAATTACTATATTACATGGGCAGCTGTTAAAGTAAGAACTGATTCTTAAAATATTAGATGAAATGGAGACTTCACATGAATAATTTTTAAATGCAAAAAATAAAATGTCCTTTTTTCTTTCCTTCCCATTAGGCTTCCTTACCATCATGAGGATCTGTGGTTTGTGTTTCTTGGCTAATTCGGTAACATCCACTCCATTATAATAAAGATTTTCTAAACACCCATGAAAGCTTTTACGTCTGAATGCCCGCGATCTTCCGGGTGTCGGAATTCCCCCAAAGCTGATCTTAGAAAGAAAAATGACATAAATAACATTGTTTAGTGATTTTCTGATGGTACGTGTTTAAAGCATTTATAATTAATAGGTCTAGTACTAACTGTCACAAATCCATTCCCATTATCTTATATTTGCATGCTTGCTTATTCCAAATGAAGTGTTCTATCATAATGACAGCTGTTAATACCTTTATTTCTGGCACCACACAGTTTTGAACAAACTTAAAAGGAAGAAGTCAACACACATTTTCTGCCACATTGAAATTTTCAGCCATGTAGTAAATTTACCCTTTGTGGGTCATATGATCTCTTTTGCAGCACTCAACTCTGACACGAAGTACCAATGTGGCCACGGACAATACATAAAGAAAGAGAACATGTTCCAATAAAACCTTCTCTTTTGAACAAAAACAGGCTTTGTATTTTTTTAATTAAAAAATGTCCAAACTTGGCCTGATGCCCATAGTTTGCCAACCTCTGCATTAGATATTATCTTTTGCTATTACATGGTTAAATTAAAGTAATAAAACTGAATAATCCGGTATAGGACTAGGATCTTCAGTTTAATATTATATGCCAAAGCCACTTACGCCAGTAAATATCACAGTTTTTCTGGTTTGTTATGATCCTTCATACACTTTAAGGTGTCCTGTAAAGGACTGAAAGAATAGATGCTATTTAACAGTGTAGCTTAGATACATATGGGCAATGGGTTGCAAAAAGCATTAATGACTTAAAAAATATCAGGATATTATTTATATGTGAGCATCTGACTTTTCTTGTTATTTAATAAATCTATTGGTGTATATCTTGTTAACTTCTCAAAGTGATCCTAAATAATGCTATGTTGGTTAGGATTGCACCAAGACAAGAAAAAAAATCCCCCAGGAATCTGCATAGTCAAACAACAAGTGTAATATACCAGATGAAATTTCAAATGAAATATATTCAAATGAGTACATTTAATAACAATGCTTGCTACTTTGGTATTTCTGCATTTGTGGATTTCCTAAACCTAACACTGACTGTTTACTTCTTTCCAAGGTGGAAAAGATGATCTATTATAATAAACTGACCTATTAGAAGGCATAAACAGTTTCATAGTACCGGGACAGACATACCATACCTATTACTATTAGTCAACTTAGTTATGAATTACTATAAAATGGCATTTCTCTATGCAGCTACCTTATTTTTCAGGTTATATTTAATTTAAACTATATATCTATAATAACCTCAAAATTAAGATCCAAGTAACTGGAATCTCCCTTTGCTTGGAAATGATGAGTGTGTTTGTCCACGGTGAAGTTGACCTGCGTGTCGAGGAGCTCGATGAGGACGGAATGCCAGTGCTGGTCGTCCAGCAGGCTGCCCAGGGTGAGGGTCACAGGAGCAATAGTGGAAGGCAGCTTAGCATTGCCTTAAAGGAGAAGGAAAAAAACAGTTATTTCTGTTCAAAATCACAGCTTCCCTTTTTTAGTTGAGCATCACAGTTTGCATCCAACTTTCCATCTTACAGAGTTGTTTTCTCACTTTCTCCCTATCTTGAACACAATAACCTTACCCTGTTTTTATTTTTTTTAAGTTCAATTCTACACTTTGTTGAAATTTTTCTTAGTATTTTTTCTATTACTCATGACATTTGGATTTACAATGCAAATATTTTCTTTCTTAGAACCTCATTATCAGCATTATCTCATAATTTTATAATGATGTATTGTCTTTATGATATGGATAATCATATATTACATATATATTATACACACATATGGTGATCTTGCACAGTTTGTCAAAATATATGCTGTTTACAGAAATCATACTTAGGATATGTATGTATTGCATGCATCTGGTAGTAATGCTCTTAAATTTTCATTTACATTTGTTCATTGCAGTTCTACTTTGCACTTACTGTCCCAGAGTAACTATCACTTGTGTATTTTTTATTTCTTAAAGGTGTTCTGGTTTAGATGATGAATTATATGGTCATTTTATCTAACTGTGAAAAGACTGAGTACCAACAAATGTAAACAGATTTTTTTTAACTACTGGTATAAAAGTTCAAGTATTTTTTTACCTGAATTAAGAAAAAAGACAAGCTTTCCTTTAATTAATTCCAGAGTAATGTGATTTCCATGTTGTCCTTCTCTGTGAAGTAGAATTCCATTGCTCTGCATGGCTTTAAATTTCAAAGAAATAACGTCTCTTATTGGTTTTAAAGGTTTTTTATCAAGTCTATACAGCAGAGCACTTTGTCCATCAAAATAAACCACCTCAGATTCTAGGAAAGAAGATATTAGAAAGCAATTCTAAATATAAATATGTCATACAGTAGCACATTGAAAATGTGTGCATCAATATGCCACACCACACACACATAGACACACATTGTATTTCTAAGCCATTCATTGAAGGAAACAACTGACAATAATATATTTTCTGGTGGCATCATGAGTTGATATATGTAATACCCACCGTTAGAATTTTCTAACATTTTCTCAAACTTCATCATCTAGAAATGCTTTTATTAATCTACTCCCAATGGCTCTTATCTTTAGAGCAGCCCATTTCTTCTCATTCTGTTTGATTAAAAACAATCAGGAAAGAAGCTGTATTTCACTACATAAATTATTTATTTTAAGGTCATTCTTATATTAAATATCAGTGTCACTCAATTTAAATACCTTTGTTCATTCCCAGTAGCTTTGGCTTCTCTTGATTCTTACACATGTACCTACTTTACTAAAGATTTTGTCTGTAAAGATACAGAAACACATATCATACTTATTAAATACTGCTTTAGACATGTAATAAATGTATTTTAAATGAGCTGACATGTAATATTTTTCTCAACCCTCGGCTAATGGTACTGCTAATGGGCACTGCAATGTGTCAACTTGGCTAGGCCATGGTAAACAGCTTTTGGTCAAACACTAGTCTTGATGTTGCAGTGCAGGTATTTTTTAGAGGTAATCAATATTAAATCAGTAAACATTGAGTAAAGCAGGTTAAACTCTATAACGTGGGTGAGCCTCATCCAATCAGTTGAAGGCTGTAAGAGAAAGAAAGAAAACTGAAGTTCTCTAGGAAAGAAGGAATTTTGCCTCCAGACAACCTCTGGACTCCAGCTGCAATATCACCTCTTACCTAGGACTTGCCAGTCCTTACAATCAGGTAAGCCAATTCCTTAAAACTCTCTCTCTCTCTACACACACACACACACACACACACACACACACACACACACACACACACACACACAGGCACACAGACATCCTATTGGTTCTGTTTCTCTGGAGAGCCCTGTCTGACAAAGGCACAGAGGTTTTGTTTTCTTGGATGCTTTGTTGAGAGAGCATGGCCTTAACACCTCTGTTTTGGTTCTTCCTGCTGTAGCTTGTCAGAACTCCAATGCTGCCACACTCTCTCAGCACTCTGTCAGGGTCTTATAAATTCACTATAAATGTCACATATGTTCAGCTCATCAAAAAACAAGTTGTTTCATTTTATCAGTAATATAAAATAATATTTGATAATATTTGTCAAAATCACATGAAGAAATTAATATTACCCAGAAAATCTCTTCTTTTTAAAAGTAAAAAGAAAAATAAGCAATTGTCCTTTGAAAAATATATTTATTTAATAAATGAAGATGCATGAAAACCTAGTGAAATATGAAACTATTTGAAGCTGACTAGCTGATGTCATTCAAGCCAATAAGATGGCATTGTTTAATTATATTTAATTTCACAAAAATATTACTAGTACTTTTTGCATGGCTATCCATTTCATTCACATTATCTGAAATACATATAATAAACTGCACTTCAAAAGTTCTCCATTTTATGTATCATTTTAAAATTTAGAAGTTTGATTTTCTCACATTGGGTTAATGTACTTACAAGGAATTAATGTATCAAGTGCATGATGAATAAACACATTCTGAGTAAAATATGTGTAAATTAAACAATTATTCCTTGTTACATAACTTATTATATGTTCATGATAAAAACAAAACTCTCTGTCAAATGTAAATGAAGACATCTAAGATTATTATTACCTGGCCATGAACTAAGGGAAACCTGAAAAAGATTGACTACAGACTTTCACATTTTTAGCACTGCCCTAATACTTATAATCATGTCTTTATTTGTTGCTTAAAGAAAATGCTAATATTTGAGCTATTTTTTTTTTTTAGTTGACTAACAAAAAAAGTTTTCTTCCCGAAAAGGTTTTTTCTGGATTATTGCAACCTATACATTTCTTTTTCTCATTCTATGTTTACTATTACTCTCCAACAGCAGTATTGATCTTCTAAGGCATGTGAAGTACAGTTCCTGGAATGTTTCCCTCAGGCAAATAGAATAGTAAAACACTTATCAAGTAAAAGAGACATAAAGCAATGACCTTGAAACTCTTTTGTTCTTTAGCTAATACCTTGATTTTTTCTTTACTGTAATCGCTAGTGCTTGTATCTAGAAATTTAAGAATATACTTATAGCTCATTATGCATATTTTAAAATAAAAGCAGATTAATGAATTGCAAATCCAAACTTTCTAAAAATCATAAAACATTCTATGATTTATGAAGTCAATACATAAAAATATGAAACAAAAAATGATGTTTGGGATGGAAAGCATTGAGTTCAATAAGTCAACAGTAACGAGCCCACCAAGATCAGCACTGGAGAGGGACAACTCCCATGTAGTCCCTCTTGAATAAGATCCTCCCACTGGAGAAGCAAAATTTCAAGTCTTGGTCCTTAGAAGTAATGCTAAAAGGTAAACTCTCTTCCCACTTGTCCACAAAAGTCATACTTTTAGCATTTTAAAACACTTGCAAGAGCAAAGAAAAGTTCTCCCAGCTGGTCAGGTGCAGTGGCTCATGCTTGTAATCCCAGCCCTTAGGGAGGCTGATGCGGGCAGATCACTTGGGCCCAAGAGTTCGAGACCAGGCTGGGCAGCATGGCAAGACTGGTCGCACTTGCTTATATTCCCAGCTACTTGGAAGGGGGAGGTGGGAGGATCGCTTGAGCTTGGGAGATGGAGGCTGCAGTGAGCAGTGCTTGTGTCACTGCACCCCAGCCTGGGCAACACAGCAAGACCCCATTTCAAGAAAAAAACAGTTCTACCTAGCCATAATCAATGCAAATATTCCCCTACAATATATATTTGAATAATACACTAAAATAAAATAATTCCAGTAACACATTTAATATAATCTTTTCTCAGAAACCTGTTGGAAAAAATCCTTTGTATGAAATTCAATTATATAAATAGGAAATGTAGTGGGATACTGGAAAATTAATGTCACTTATTATGTTTACGATAAAATCCAACGTTCCTCAAAGTTTTCAGAATGAAAGCCTTGCTATCCAAAATGAATAAAGAAAACTTAGCTTGTGGTTTAAAGCAGGAAGTGCTTTTCTAATTTTACATGAATTTAGTTTATAATTATTAGCTTTATTAATTAAGATTATAGTTTTGATTGCTGAATCTCAATCAGTATTAGCAATGTGGACCCCTGACACGTTAGTCTGTCACCATTAGATCAGGAGCTACATTTTCTAGTACACTAGAGTATATACTGCGTGGGCTTGAATCCTGGCTCCATCCTGGATAAGTTACATAGCCTCTCTCTGCCTCAGTCTACTCATAAGTGAAGTGAGAATACATACACTCCTCTCTCACAAGGTCGTTGCGAGGGTTAAATGAGTTAGTATTTGTACTTTTACAACAGTGCTGGGCACATGGGGTACCTTCAGTGAACGACGGCTTCATTATTATTGTCAGGGCACTGGGCAGAAAAAGAGGTGGAAATGAGTTTAAAATAGCACATAGGGGATATATAGGAAAGTAGACAGCTTAAAATGATAGCGGATTTAATTTTTGAAGGACCTAGGAAATCTTCAGTTTCCACCAGGAAAAAGAGATTTACAACCATTCATCCACACTTACACAGCTCCTTCTCTGCCAGCCAGCTTGTTCCTGGGCTGACTCACTTCAATCACTGGTAACCTAAATCTTACTCAGAAGTATTAATATATCTATCTCATTTTCTTGTGTTAGAGGACCACTAGAGTTTTTAAATGATACTTGAAGATTATTGGTGCAATTATAATGTTTTTGTCACACTTCCTCAAAGAATATCGGAAAAGCTAAGGACAGATGTGTTCACAAAGTTCCCAAATACGAATTCTTGTAGATAAAGAACTTTGTCATACAAGGAAGAACTGTGTCAGAAGTAATTTTGCTAAAATGTGTTATGTCCTCATTCATACAGCTAATATTCACTGAAAGCCTTCCATATGCTAGGTGAAAGATAAAAATGCAGAAGACAATGAATTACTTTTAAGGATCCCACAGTATGGAAAAAAGGTCATATAATCCTGAAATACGATTGTTTCTGCCACATTCACAGTGATGCTTCTGTAAACAGGCATCTGGTCCAGAATGACTTCTAAGAAAGGATAAGGAAGGAGTCTACCTGCTTTAGACTCCTGCAAAGTATGACGTCTCTGAAAAGCTAAGACATAAGTAATTTTGAGTTGCTATTTCCTTTATTTCCTTAAGCCATATTTTACCTTCACATTTTACTTTTATTAGAAACAGAGACTCACTCCGTTGCCCATGCTGTAGTGCAGTGGTATCTTCACAGCTCACTGCAGCCTTGAACTCCTGGGCTAGAGTGATCCTCCAGCCTCAGCCTCCCAAGTAGCTGGGATTATAGGCATGCACTACAATGCCTGGCTAATTTTTTACTTTTTTTCTAGAGATGGGGGGTCTCACTATGATGCCAAGGCTGGTCTTGAATTCCTGGGCTCAAGCAATCTGCCCGCCTCAGCTTCACAAAGTGCTGAGATTACAGGCATAAGCCACCCCGCCTGGCCTACTTTCACATTTTTCACACCCAGAATGTACTCTTAACTCTGGCTTCTCATTACTACTTTTCTGCTTCTCACTGTCATTCTAAGCACAGGCATGTCTCATCCCCATCCTACCTTGTACTGCCTTTTCAGAGGAAACATCAACATTGCTTGAAAACAGCAAGATTCCATAGGGTGCAAACACTGATGTCTTACAGAAGAAAAAAAAAAACACGATTCCACAGAAATTTTCTTAAAGTGTTCTATCAACCACCTTCACTCAGATTGACTAGGAGTGATCACTTGGAGACTTTAGAACGTGAGCCTCAACCAGACCAGGAATCAGGATTTCTGTGGTTGAGACCCAGGGGTTTGCATATTTAATAAGCTAACTAGGTAGCTGTGATGACACGAAGGCTTCAGGATGATTTATCAGGGATAATGGGCAGATTACAGAGGTTTACTCTCTAAATAAATTGAATGTTAATTCCAATATGGGGTGAGGCACAGGGGCTCACACTGTAATCCTAGCACTTTAGGAGGCAAAGGCAGGTGGATCATTTGAGGTCAGGAGTTCAAGACCAGCCTGGGCAACATGGTAAAATTTCTACTAAAAATACCAAAAAATCAGCTGGGTGTAGTGGTGCATGCCTGTGATCTCAGCTACTCAGGAGGCTGAGGTGGGAGAATAGCTTGAACCCAGGAGGCAGAGGTTGCAGTGAGCCAGGATTGCTCCACTGCACTCCAGCCTGGGCAACAGAGAGAGACTCTCTCTCAAAAAAACAACAACAAAACCCACAATTCCAATATGGAAACATGAATATCATTTTCATAGAGTTATAATTTATATTCAATAAATTTAAGGTTATAGTTCAATGAGTTTTAATAAATATATATACCTACCTTATTGCCAAAAAATCAAGGTGTAGGCAATTTCATATCAACTCACTAATTGCCATTTGCATCAAACCCCCAACACTGTCACCCAGACCCAGACCCAGGAAACCAATGATCTACATTCCGTAACTACAGATTAGTTTTGTCAGTTCCAAAATTTCATAAAATTGTATCGTGTATGTGTTCTTTTGTGTCTGCGTTCCTTCTTAAGTGTAACGTTTTTGAAATACACGCATGCTGTTGCATATATCAACAGTCTGTTCTTTCTTATTGCTTGGGGTATTCAACTGTTTGACAACTTGTTTATCCATTTACCTGCTGATAGACATTTGAACTGTTTCCAGGTTTAAACTATTATAAATAAAGCTGCTAGGCACATTCACACATACATCTTTATGTTGACATATGCATTCATTTCTGCTGGGTAAATACATGGGAGTGGAATTGCTGAGCTATATATTAAGTGTATATTTAGCTTAGAAGAATGCCAAATTGTTTTCCAAAGTGATAGTATCATTTTCACATTTCCCACCAGCAATGTATAAGAATTCCATATCTTTGCCAAACACTTGGTGTTTCCACCCTTTTTAATTTTAGCCTTTCTGCTAGGTGTATAGTGGTTTCTCATTGTGATTTTATTTCTCTAAAGACTAGTGATGATTCATTTTAATATAATAATAAGTTAGAATAGATGTATTGGGATTCTGTAGATCAATTCGGGGAGGATGATAAGAATATTGAATCCTGCAATCGATGAATACACAAAGCTTTCCTAGGAAATATTTGCCTTTATTCACTCACATATTTTCTTTCCTTCTGGGCATAATAAGAGGAACTTAGGGAAAACAGGCCTTGGTTCTGCATTCTCAGTAAAGGCCTTGATCTCTCTCTTTAATTTTCATGCATGATCTTTCCTCTCTATTTCTTTTCTTTCCTCTCTCTTTTCTCCTTCTCCCATTTCCTGGTAAAGATAGTTGATTGCACAGAGTCTGGAATCCTCTGTGAGTAGGTTCACATTCCAATTCTTCAACTTACTTATTTCTGATGGACAGGGATTTACTTTTTCATCTTATTTTGAGTTTCTATTTATTTTACTTTTTTATGACAAATTTTTTTTTTTTTTGAGACAGGGTCTCACTCTGCCACGCAGGCTGGAGTGCAGTGGCATGATCTTGGCTCACTGCAGCCTTGACCTCACTGGGATCAAGCAATCCTCACACCTCAGCCCACTGAGTAGCTGGGACCACAGGCACACACCACCATGTCCAGATAATTTTTGTATTTTTTGTAGAGATGGAGTTTTGCTGTGTTGCCCAGGCTGGGCAATCAAGTAATCTGCCTGCCTTGGCCTCCTAAAGTCCTGGGATTACAGGCATGAGCCACTGTGACCAGCTTTATTTATTTTTAAAAAAATTTGTTGAAATTTAATTAGCACTTCAGTGTTTTACAGAAAAATAATTTTCCAAAATATTAAGTAGATTGTATTATAAACACATTATTATATGAAAAAATTATATACACTTTGTTTTCTTCAACACATTTCCCATGGCATTAAAAGAAATGCAGTTAGTTATATTTTCAGTTATGACAAGCAAACATTCAGAAGACTACACTTCCTACCAAGGACAAGTAGAAAATGTGTACCAAGTAAAGTTTAAATAATCTTCTTGAAAGTTTTAAAGATCTACTACGACTGCCAGGACTCAAGAATGTAAAGATCTTAGAAGACAAGCTCAGAACACTCTTTCTGCTTCTACCCTTGAAGCACTGGTCAACTCCCAAGGAGCAATGGGCAAGAGACAAGGTGGCCAAGCAGAAAGTGACAGGACAGCTATGAGGCTGGGTCACGAAGCAGGGGTCTCTGTAGACTCATCATAATTAGGAGTCAGATGGCAGAATTCAGAGATTTTCAAAAAAATGTTTTGGCAAAGGCCTTCAAATCTCAGTTGGGACTAGTGAAGCATTGTACTCCAGATATAAGATATCAACTAGGCCTCATGGGGACTGAGACGCTGCACTGAGTCAGTTAAATGCTTATTTGAATTAACATCTGTGCCTAATCTAGAAGCCTAACAGAGGCTGTGGTGGGGATTCGCTGGGGGATCACTTTGTCTTCTCTAGCCTCTACAAATTTCTGTCCAACATGTCCAGAATTCAGCCAAAATTATCAGACATCAAAACGGAAACAAAAACCAGACAATGGAAAAGATCAAGAGATAATCCAGATATTGAAGTTAACGAAAAATCTTTAAAATAACTGTAATTAATATTTCCAGGAAAATAGGCAGCAAGATAAGGAGTTTCACTAGGATACATGAACAGAAATTCCCAAACTGAAAATCACAGTAACTAAAATTAATAGCTCACTGGCATATTCAACAACAGATTGGTCACAGCAGAAGATCTGATTAGTAGTATAGAAGATAAAGCAGTACACAATGTCTAGACTGCAGCATAAATAGAAAGAAAAGATGAAAGAGGAGAGGGAGAGAGAGAAGCAGGAGGAGGGAGAAAGAGAGAGACAAAGAAAGAAAATAAGATACAAACATCTCAGACAGATGTAATTGGAGTCTCAGAAAGGAGGAAAGGAAATGCGAGACAGAAGCAATATTTTGAAGAAGTAACAGTGAAGAATTACCCAATCTAATAATCACTGCATAGAAAAAAGAAATTTAGTGAAATCCAAAGAGGACAAATTCAATGAAAACTAAAATAGCCACATCAAGGCAAAACTGCTGAAAATCAAAGACAAATAATAAATTCTCAAAAGTAACCAGAAGAAAAATACACATTTCCCTTATAGGATAAAAATCAATTACCTATTGATTTCTTAATAAACATCATGAAAACAATAGAATGCCATCTTTAAAAGGCCGAAAGAAAATAACTACAGACCGTATTCTCCAGCAAGCTGAAACAGCCTTCAGAAGTTCATATAAAATAAAGACAATTTTCAGGCAAACAAAAGCTATATGACAATTTATTACCAGTAGAACTGGGCTAAGACAAATATTAAAAGGAGTCTTTCTAGCTGAAAGAATTTGATTCAGAAAGAGCATGAAAATGCAGAGAAAGTAAATATGTGAGTAAATTCAAGTGAATACTGATTGCAAAAAAAATTATATTAAATTTTGTGATTAAAATATATGTACACATATACACATGTATGTATGAAACTAAAATGTGTCAACATAGCACACATGGTGGGAGGAGTTTAACTAAACTAACATAAGTTGTACTTAAATCCTAGTATTGTTTGGAAAGTGATAAAAGTAGTAGCTCAAGTACCTAGGAGAACAAAATTAGAACAGCAAACAATAGTGGAAAAACTGGAAAAATTAAACTTGATTAACCCAAAAGAAGAGGAGAGAAAAAGGAGTATAAAACAAGTGAACCAAATATAAAACAGAGAGTAACATGTCAGCTACAATTTCACATATGTCAGTAATTACATTTAATATAAGTGGACTAAATATACCAACTAAAACTCAATGATTTCCAGATTTGGTTTAAATAATAAAGAAAGAGTCCTTACATATGAAGACAAAAAGTTTGAAAGTAAAGAATGGAAAAAGTTATTCCATGAAAACACTAACCAGAAGAAATCTGGCATAGCTATACAGTACTATCATCAGAGAATGCAGACTTACAGGCAGGAGGCATTATTAGAAATAAACAAGGATATTTCATAATTACAAAAAATCAACTTTAAGGAAGATAAAACAATTCCCAATCTATATGCATTTAATGAAACAGCTTCAAAATATGTAAAGCATGTATCTCTTTTCATTTTACTGGAATTCATATTTCAGGCATGCTTATTAATGGTAGACACAAAGGAGGACAGTAGGTACACTGTAGAGTTGACTCTGCCTACCATTAGCCAAAGGAAGTCACTGGCTGGCTCAAAAATCAGGGGGCAGGGAAGCATACACCACTCACAGGCACTGGCAAGGAACAGGTGCAGAATTGGTGCCAGTGATGCAAACTAGCACAGCGTGTATATATAAAAGTGATAAAACAATTAAAGGAACTTTACAGAGGTAGGTAGTTCTAACTTCATTAGAACACCAATGAAGAAATACAAACTTGGACCATCTCAGGAGTTATGAAAATTTCCCATGTCTCAAATTCTAATCAAGGACAGGTAAAATTTTGGAAGGGAGAAAATAAAATTTGCTTTTGTCCAGTCACTATTTGTTCTATTTGTTTTGTTTTACCGGAAACCTCCACTTGCCGTCTGTTGTTCCTACGGAAAACAGTACAGCACTCAGTTAATCCAGATGAAGCTGCTAATATTCAACTGTATTTGATCTACAAAACTGGCAAATATATGGTTCAACCAATTATAAGTGAAGCTAGAATGATGAATAAGAAAAGGACTGATTGGTAATAGCATAGCTATGTAAGACAGAGTCTGAATGACATATAAAACTATTTGAAGACTAAGTTATAAGAAAATGTAACAGAAAATGCATGAATAAAGAATTACCTGTGAGTAATAAAAAATGATTTTCACTTGGGACATTATAAAAGAAATCTTCGTGAAAAGAACATTTTAGAATTCTGTTAATTATCTGGGCTGTGCTCCAAGTATTAAAATTTTAAAGAAGAATCCACCACTCCCAGACCCCCTCCCCCACCAAATTTTCCACCATTAAGGGACCAAAAAAGTGGCGAACCAAGCTCTTCTTGGTTATTTATGAAGTCAACCTTGAATACTAACCATTTTCTTTTTCCTTCATGAATTATTGCCCGTGACTTACAAAGGAATAGAAGCCCAATCTCAGTTTAACAGAAACATGAACCAGACAAAAGCCATGTTTGAGTGTTATCTAATGAAAATACTAAAACACTAGCATGGAGTGGAATGTAAGCCCTTAAAATCTGCACTAGCGGACTGGGAATTAAAGAGATGGAAAGGATACTAACCACTTGAGAAAACAACAAGAAGAGGACTGTTCTATTTTTTGCATTAATATCAAAGAAAGTGGAGTGATTTAAAGAACTCTGAAATTGAGGATAATTAAAGCTGGCATGATAAAAAGGAGGAAGGCACAGAATCAAAAACTAAATGTTTATATACAATACAATGCAGCTTGATGCTGTCTCTCTGAAAGTAGAAAAGAAGCTGCCGCCATCAATCAATATAGCAATATATCAAAACAAGTATCAATATAATGATCCTTTATGAAACCTCGGCAGTTATTATCCATCAAGAACATGGAATTGGTAGTCAGAGGACTGGAGTCCTCTCCCTGTCTCTGGTGACTATTTGTAGCTCCTGCACTGCCGGCCCTTGGTGTGGCTTCTCAGATTGCGTACTTGGAACATCTGGGTGTTAATAACTGCCTTTCTACTACATAAAGATGCATCAAGTATCAGATGGAAGAATGGAAACATAACTGTAAAATCTTATATTTGCTATTTTTACTAGAGTTATTACAATTTTTAATACTATACTTTATAACAATATAATCTCCAAGATACCTGCCTTACCTGGATGGCTAGTATAAGAGAGAAATAATCTGAAATTTAGATTCATTATTCAGATTTTATTATCATCTGTCAGACTTTTTTTCTGAATTGCTTCATTCATTCATTCACTCAATGCAAAGCTATGGTGCACTTAGTATGTTCCTGGCTCTGTATTAGGTGCTGATGTTACAGCAATGAATGTACCTTACCCTAGTGTAGCCTGAAGTCTAATGAGGAAAAAGGAAACTAGGCCTCTAATAAGACAGATACAGATACACTATAAAAAGTGACTATAGCACATGAAGTCATACTATAGGCTTCCTGGGAACTTATAATGAGGAAACAAATGTAGAGTGAGGGCCTAGGAAGCATCATTTAAACTGAGATCGAAAAGAGGAAGAGTAAATAGCCAGTTGAGAACATGGGGAAGGAGCATTTCAAGCAGGGGAGACCGCAGGCGTAAAGGCTTTGAGTCAGTAAAAAGCCGGACACAATTGACAGTGGACAGGTAGCAGGTGACGGCAGCAAGAGGTGGCACTGGAGAGTTATTCAGGGACAAGCTCCTTCAGGCCTTGCTGGGAGTCTGGATGTTATTTTAGGAACAATGGAAAGCCACTGATGGTATTAAACAGGGACGTAATTGTATCAGTTCTGCATTTTTAAAAGGTAACTTGAGTTGCAGTGTGGAGAATATAATGTAGTCAGCTATGAACAGAGACAGAATGACCTAAACTTGGAAGGCAATTTCCATAATTTGTGGGACACCAAGTTTAGATTAAGTCGGTAGTAGAGCTAAAGAGAGCTGAAATCATGCAAGGTGTAATTTGGAGGGAAGAATACAGAATTTCGTGACTCACTGGACATGGAGGGCAAGAGAGATAGATGCGTCAAGGACCCATAGGGTTCTGGCCTAAGATTCTGGGAGTTCCCCTTTGTTCTTGAGAGATGCCCTCGAAGGCCTGGACAGGCAGTAGAGCATAGGGAATTTATTTTTCTGTCTAAGGCCTCTGGGAAACAATCCTAGTGTCTTGGGCGTAGCTTTAAGCATGTCTCAACAATCGAGTTTGAACAATCGAATGTGCATGTTTTTCCAGGAATCATCCTGATTATTGTGTGGACTAAAAACTGGAAAGATCAAGACCAGAGACAAATAGCTGATTTAGGAGGCTGGTGCTCATTTAGGCTAAACTGGAGGGAGAGAAAGAAATTCAAAACATTTAGGAGATAGAATCAGGTTTCAGTCAATAGGTGGCTGTTGGTATCGTTTTATAAGATGGAAAACAAAGGAAAATGAGCAGATAGACAACTGAGTTTTAAGTGCTCACAGGGCCAGTGAAGAGAGGTTGGTACCAGAGGTTGGAACTCCTCAGAGTAGGTTGCGGATACGTATTTGGAAGTTATCAGCCACAGTGTGTAAATGCTACTGAAAACTCATGGAAGTGGATAAAAGGCTCAGAGAGAGCTTGGGAGCAGGATAAAAGACCTAGAACCAATCTGTGGATAATGCTAGCCTTTAAGGAGTGGCAAGAAGAGTAGCATGCAAAGGTGCATGGAAAACCAGGAGAATACAGCTGTCAAGAAGGGCCCGAGGCCATCTGTGCTCATGGCTTTATTCTGCAGTTGAGCAGCAACTCTGGGAGAACCTACAACCTATCCCCAGGCTAGAAGTGGAAATAGAAATAAATAGAGTAAGCCAGGAGTCTGTGAAAACACACACAGTTTAAAGGAATAATGAATCTATTACTGTAAATGAAGTGTAGAAAAGCTAGTAACACTAGGGCTGGGCAGTCCCAGCTACTCAGGAGGCTGAGGTAGAGGATCGATGGAGCCCAGGGGTGCACTATGATGATCAGGTGTCTGAACAAATTTTAGCATCAAATGGTGATCTCTCCGAGCGGAGGACCATCAGGTTGCTTAAGGAAGAGTGAACTAGCCCTGCTCCCAAATGAAGCAGGTCAAGACTCCCGTGCTGATCAGCAGTGGGATTGTGCCTGTAGCCACTGCACTCCAGCCTGGGCAACATAATGAGAACTTGCCTCTTAAAATAAAAAAAGATAAATTGATAAATACATAAATAAATAAATGGGAAGAGATGCTGCGTGGCAGGGATATTATAAGTCATTATAAGCAACGTTCTAGAAAACAAGCAGGGCAGTGGAAATACAAAGGAAAATACTGAAACTACCATTATTAACATAAGTCATAAAGGATTGTATTACTGTCAACAACAAAAATAAAATCACCATACTTGAACAATTATTCTTCTAAGGAAAAAAAGACAATGTAGATGTCCACTTGTTCTAAAGAATTACTTTTAGCTAGTTAGCAGTGGTCACATATTATCTGTCTGCATGTTTGGGTTTTTTTACTAGTAGTCCCTTACAGCCAACAGCATGTGTTTACAGAAGTTAACGGTGCCAGCAGATTGCATGGCAGCTGCACCGCTCACCGGCCCTTCCTGGAATCAGGCACGGGGCTTTGATCTTCCTGGTACCAACCTCCAGCCCAAGGAACTGGAGTAATATCTCTTCATGAAGGAACATCAAGCTAATGGCAAATCGCCATCAAAGAGCATGTTCCACTTTGAAGTCAGTAAACCTGAAGTTGTTTCAGAGTAATGAGAGGAGAAGGTAACTTCACAGCATCAAAGAGAGATTCCAAATATCAGACATCTTAGCCATTGAAACAGAGAGCACAGTTATAGGTCCCAGAAAACACAGGGATGGAAGGAGATGAACAATAACAGGAAGAAAAAAGACTGTTGGTAAAGCAACATCATTATATTTAGCCCTGTAGAAATGTAAACACTAAAAAACAAGCAGAGTTAGGAAATGAACTGGGTTGTACAGGAGTTAAGTAATAAAATGGAAATAATAGTATCTGAGATATTAAATGCTGTATGAATGACAGACGTTGTTATCATGCTTTAGAAAATTAATATTCTGCAGGGCTAAAGCTGTGAGTAGGCAGAGAATGGGAGTGACTGTGTGTAAATAGTGTGATATGAACATCCGGCCGGACCCAAATTGAAGCTGCTTAAGACATTTCCATCCAGGCTGCTCTTTGACCTGTTCTCCAGTTTTATACAGGAGTATTTTTCAATTTTATTCCATTTTGACAATAATTTAAAACATTTTTATGATAATGTAAAGAAAGAATACAAGTATGTTCTAGATCATCAAGTGGCAACTGTGTCACTGAGTACCACCAAATAATTTCACGGCCGGCTTTTTGTTTGTGTTATATTCATGTCGGCCCCATCCTTTCCACTTTTATAACAAAGAATAGGTGAGAAAAGAGGCTGACTAAACACAGGTTCCCACCAAGTGAAGATCAAGTGAAGCGACAGCACAGTGTGCAAAAGAGGACGTTAGCAGAGAAAAACACAGAGAACCAAGAGATTGCGAGAAATCACACCCTGCCCCCAGTACCGCTCCTGTTTTCCCAGACAGCGTATCATCTCAGCTTCAAAAAAACAGCATCATCTGTTGTTAGTTTGAATTGTATTCGTTTCATCAGATGCCTACCATATTGCAAGTACTTTGCTAAACTCTGGGAATCTAAAGACAGGTAAGTTTCAGTTCAGGTCCACCACTAAATTCAACTATAAAAGACAGTAACTAAAGTCCATATTGTCATGGGGAGACACTAGAGTGTTTCCATAAAAACCAGTTCTGCTTGCCCAGCTATATAAAAAGACAGAAAAAGTCAAGTTCAACATTTCATGCCGACATTGGCTTTTACAGTTTGGCTTTGACAGAATCTCATGCTGACCTTGATTTCACACAGGGAATAAAGGCCACTTACTATATGCACATCCGTACACTTCGATCCGCATCCCAATCCTGCCCCTAGGGTTCCAGGCTAAAGGGAGAAAGCGCAGGAACCTGGCTTCAAAGGGAGGCTGGAGTCTGTAGTGCACCACACTGTCTGCGTTTGTGTTTCCTGGAAAACCCTAGGAGAAAACAGAGAAAGGGATCAATGTATCTGCAGGACACACCATCTTCATGTCGTCACCTCTCATGGCAATGAGCAATGTATGCTCGCTTTGCTAATATGCAAAAAGCTGCTGTTTTAAAGGAAACACTGCTAATGGTTAACAAGGATGTGACAACCTCTCCAGTCCCTGAATTCGTCACCATTGTCTAAGTTTTCTTTATTTACAAGGTAGTTTAAATTTCATCCACATCATTAAAATGACTATAAACATGGCAACCTCTATGAAGTTCACTTTTCTAAAATGCTATCCCACAGATTCCTCCCTAATCAAGTGGTAAAGATGCTCACAAAAAGCCACATCACATGGCAGGGCAATCAAGCACCACGGTAACAGGCAAAGGATCTGCAGTGAGAATCCTGGAATCTGCAATTAGAGAGTTGGAAGGGACCTAGACATGATTCCAGCCCCACACCCTTAATTTATAAATGAAAAACTACAGTCTAGGAAGAAGAAAGGACACTCTGGAGGTAGGACAGCTATCATAGAGTGTGGGCAGGATTACATCTGGCTTTGATTTCAATGGCATCATTGATTCCATGTTATCAGGCTGAATCCACTTCACAGTGAACACAGCTCCATGCACCTGTGGCCTGTTTCCTGGGGGTGTCAAGAGGAGCACACTGCCACTATCTGCTCCAAGGCAAAGGGGCTTTCACTCTTCACTCCATCTTGCTATCTGAACATTGGGAAGGATCAGAGTGCAAAGCAAACAAAGTTGTTTTAGATATTTTTTTCATTGTTCTCAGATTTTTAAGAATATGGCATGTGTGAGAACAAGGAAAGGGTTAATGCTATTTTGCACTAGAAGTGCTATCACCTAACATGACTGGGGCACATAGTTAATATCTATGTATGGAACAGGCCAGCAGTTAGTTCAACCAAGAATGAAGAATGTTTCCTGCCTAATTATTTTGCTTTACTAAAGAATGTACCAGGCTTAGGGCCAGCGCGTTGGCTCACGCCTGTAATCCCAGCACTTTGGGAGGCCAAGTTGGACAGATCACGAGGTCAGGAGATCGAGATCATCCTGGCTAACACGGTGAAACCCCGTCTCTACTAAAAATACAAAAAAATTAGCCGGGCATGGTGGTGGGCCCCTGTAGTCCCAGCTACTCAGGAGGCTGAGGCAGGAGAATGGTGTAAACCCGGGAGGTGGAGCTTGCAGTGAGCCAAGATCGTGCCACTGCACTCCAGCCTGGGCGACAGAGGTAGACTCCATCACAAAAAAAAAAAAAAAAAAAAAAGAATGTACCAGGCTTAACAACAAAACAAAGAGAATAAAGATCAGCCTGCCTCATACCCAACCACCAATGGGTGTCCCTGGGTATAAACACATGGAAATAAAAATATAGGAAATGCCTTAGTGAATGTGGTCAATTTTAAATGCTAGTGTTGATGCTCAGACTTGGTAACAGTTCGTCTATTGTTAATTCGTGCCAATTCCAAGATAATCATTTCACCTTTTTTTTTTTTTTTTTTTTTTTTTTTCTGAGACAGGGTCTCACTTTGTCTTCCAGGCCGGAATGCAGTGGTGCGATCTAGACTCACTACAACCTCTGCCTCCCAGATTTAAGCAATTCTCCTGCCTCAGCCTGCCCAGTAGCTGGCATTCCAGAAGCATGCCACCACACCTGGCTAATTTTTGTATTTTTAGTAGAGACGGGGTTTTGCCATGTTGGCCAGGCTGGTTTCGAACTCCCAGCCTCAAGTAATTTGCCCACCTGGGCCTCCCAAAATGCTAGGATTACAGTCATTAAGCCACCATGCCCAGCCAGAGATAATCATTTCACTCTTGTTCCAACTAAAGGGTCATGTACATCGACATTTTTTGAGTTAACAATCGCTATACCAACTTCAGGTAAATATTTGCACAACCTCTGCACTCACAACCTTCTGTCTGGACAGCCCAGGCTGACCTATATAAAAGAAGCCATATCCCAGCTCCACCACCTCAAACCCTGCTACTCTCTGCTGCAAGCTGCAGTTTCTCCATCTGTGAAACTGATCTTGAAGGGCCAGAGTACTAATTGAGATAACACCTGGAAATCAATCAGCCCACCACCTGCGTGGAGGTGGCTGCTGTGATTGTGACCCAGGTTGGTCATTGTTGGCATGGTTGGTAGAGATGGTTGATCCATCCTTTTATTTTGGTTCTAATTTGGGTTTAATATCTAAGACATACAGCCAAGCTAATACAAGAACATCAGATCCTATGAGCATTTTGACTCCAATGTTAAAATTCAGTTGCAGAATTAAAATCATATTTTTCTGTAGCTGAATAAACTTTGTAAACCTCAGCAAAAACAATACAATAAAAACCTTTCAAAGGAACCCTACCAAAACAGAATTTTTTCACCTTTATCTGCCAAATGTTACTTCTTTCTCAATTTGTTTCAAAGTGTAAACTCTGGAAAATATACTTCTGAGTGATGTGATAATAGGATCATGTAGCAAAATAAAACTTAATGTCAATTTTTGCTTAATTAAATAGATTAACATTTAAGAAACTTTAAATAGACATTACCTAATAGTTTGTGAATAAGGCAGATGAGAAACATACTCTTTGCAACTTCAGAGATATCAATAAAAAATCAAACATTTATTACATATGACTAAAATATATTTAAAAGTTTATATATATAATCACATTAATTCATTTGAAATTTCAGAAATCACATTATTGTCTTATATAGAATTATAACCAGCTTCATGGGATACCAACCAAATGAACCATTGTTCTTTAAAGATATAGAAATTAAAGAGAATACATTTTGGGCAGGAAAGATTTATACTAGCATTTCACTGTCATAACATTCAGGGCTTATTATTGAAATAACCTTATCTATAACAGTAAAATAATGTGTGTCTTAAAAATATGCAGTGTAGTTTCTTATTTATTATATTCAAAGTTTGCTTCGAGAGCTTGCAGAGCAGACATGAGTTCATACGTGAGCACATGACCACTACGGACAGAAAGAATGGCGAACACAAAGACCTATTCCTGCTTTGTTTTATTAAGGTGGAAAAACGAACCTTCTAGAAGGATAAGCCAGCTTTTATAGAAATATGCAGCCTTCAACAATTCTGCAGAGGCTTACGTCTTCATTTTAGACATAAATAGCAAAAGTTACAGCTCTGTGGAGAGTGAGGGTATACAGAATAGTTTTCGGAAGCCATAGTCCTTCAAATTCTTTTCTGTCTTAGCAGGCATGTGACCTTGGGAGAAATCATCATCTTTCTTTGTAAAGTAGAAAAATTGTATCTATCTGGCAATCTTGGTAAGAATTAAACTAGTTAATATATATAATGTATTTGTAAGATTATAAATCATTTATTTTTTACAGCATTCCTCTGCAATTTGTGTGTGTGGTGTGTTCATGTATAAAAGCTCCATCTTATTGAAAGACAGTCACTTAAGTTTGATGTGGATTCTCTGTCTTTGAGGGCATTCTAGCTAAGTATTATATTAAGTAATCAAAAATGAGTATTTTCAGATAAAATGATCAGTTTCCATAACATGTTCCTTAGGTATACATGAAAGTGAGTGAAATCTGCGGCTTGGAGTCCACTCACATGCTGGAAATATGTTTCATAAATAATTTAGGAATTAATGACATTACTGAAAAATTTCCAACACTCTACTTTGATTTTTAGCGGTCACATTAGTTAAATCTAACAGTCACAGTCAGTGATGGTGCTCATGTGATATCCTGGTCTGCAAAATGTTAAGCGCATGGATAGTTGTGGTTGAGTATGAAATACCCAGATTGACAGCCATAAGCAGAAAAAAATCTGTCAAGGTAAGACTCATCAACAACTATTTTTAAGAAGACTGTTAGAAATTTGTTATTTTTCCAAATTTGTCATTTTGTCATTTCTGTTTTAGTGGGTTTTTATCATCAAATCTTTATTTTAAATTACGAGATACTGAAATGAGTCTCTGAATTTTAAAATAAACATTAAATCTCTACTATGCATAGGGCCACCACTGTCCTATGCAATTTCACACATCAATTCAGTTAGTCCTCACAAAGATGTTAGAAAAGCCTGTCTAAAAGAAACAGATTCTTCAGCAGCTTCAGTTTATTATTAGTTTCCCAAACACTTAAATGTACTACGAGAGATTCTTATTTTAATATGCTGTTATTATTTTAAGCTGTCTGTGTGTGGGGTAAGAAAGTGCCCGTGAGTCCCTGAGTTCTAATTCTGTTTCCTTAATTGCCAGACTATGCTGATATTGGATACAAATTTTAGTGCTTGTAATCTCAGCTTCTTTATGAGTAACATGGGAATAATACTAACTGCTCTGCCCAATTATAGCTTGTTGGAAGATGTTTCTGTAGGTGACTTCAAAATTCTAAGGAACTATACAAATGAAAGATATTGCTAAGCTGCTCCCTGTAATGCCTGTTAACAAGATTATTTGATTAAGACACTTTGTTAATTATAAGTGTTATATGAAGAAATTGTATTAATTCTAAGTATATAGCATTAATAATATAATTACCATGACATATACCTTGATGATTTTATGAAGCAATTAAAATGTTTCTATAGATTATTAAAAATTAGCATATTATCTTTATCACCTTAGTATGACTAGTACAATTATATTTATGCAGAGTTAATCAGTAAAAAGCAAAATGAAAGATATAAAACAATATTATATGTAAGTGTAAATATGTGTGAACAAAAGAATTATGATTTTTAAAAGAGTATGTACAAATAAAATGTATTGGACTGGGGAAATATGAATCATGTACAAAAAAATATGATTAATGAATGAATGAACACCAAGGCAAGAGTAGGGTCTTATGCAGACCAGACCGATCATTCCTTCATGATTACTCACTAAGGAAGGTGACTCATGGAAACCTTGGCATCTGATGTCTAAACATAGTAAATAAACAAAAAAGGGCTCCAGCATGTGGACCCAGTGCCTGCTGAAGAGCTGTTAACCCTCTGCTGCTGCCCCCTCAACCTCCTCTGTTCTCAGGATGCTCATGGGTGAAGAAGGGACTCCTGGCAAGTGGGACCTGGGGCTGCCACAGAGCCCTCCCAAGGACATAGACAGGACTGTGAGGCCACGGCTCCAGCAGGATGCTGGCTCCTGCAACTGTCAAAGACTTCAGCTCAGTTTTGGAGTTTCCTGTAAGTGATATATCATATGATGAACACAGGCTGCGAAGCTGGAGAGACCTGGGTCTGAGGCCAAGTCCCAACATATACTGGTTCTGTGACTGTGGGCAAGACACTCAACCACGCAGAGCCTTCTCCTCTGAACACTGGGGAGAATGATGATCCGGACTCACAAGACTCTCACGTATCTCTAAAGCTCTTAACATAGGACTAGCATACGGTAAATAATCAATTAGTAGGAAACACTGCTTATTATTATCTGTTAATACTAAGTGATATTTCCTCTTACTCATTCTCACAATGCTACTCTTTGAAAGCAAGGATGAATCTATGGACCTTTTCCTTTGATTCTCAGCCGGAATCAACTTAATCACTTAGGTCTGCATCCCCTCACTAGCAGATGACATTAGGCAAGGATGATACTGCTTTTGTCCCTGTTATTTTCAGAAGATTACAGATAATGGTGTAACATGCAAAACTGTTTCTTATTTAAATTAGTATCGATAACTGCCTATGTGAACAGTTGTACTTAATTATTTTAAAGTGCTCATGAATGCATTATTTTTTACTAACCATTAGAATACAATGTTTATCAACACAAAATGAGAAAAGTGTGACTTTGCCTTATTCTAGCATTATTAAATGAACTGAAGTAGGAATTAAGAAATGTGGGTGATGGTTCCAGCTTTTTCATTAATTAGCTGTGAGAGCCATGGTATGTCACCTGAGGCTTCAGTTTAGCTGGAAAGCATGCTACAAAGTACTATGGGGCCAGGCACGGTGGCTCATGCCTGTAATCTCAGCACTTTGGGAGGCTGAGGCAGGTGGATCACCTGAGGTCAGGAATTTGAGACCAGCCTGACCAATATGGTGAAACCCCATCTCTATTTCAAAAAAAAAAAAAACCAAAAATTAGCCTAGCATGGTGGTGTGCCCCTGTAGTCCTGGCTACTCAGGAGGCTGAGGCAGGAGAATCACTTGAACCTGGGAGGTGGAGGTTGCAGTGAGCCGAGATTGCACCACTGCACTCCAGCCTTGGTGACAGAGTGAGACTCTATCTCAAAAAAAAAAAAAAAAGTAGTATGGAATCTAAAGTTTTCTCTAGCACTAAAAGAGCATGGCCTGAAATAGTTAGTTTATATTCGGGTCAAGAAAGAAAGAAATGTTAGAAAATAAATGAATAATCAATGACAGCAAGAGTACCTTATTGGAAAAAATGTATGTATATATGCACTTATGCATATCTTTAATTAATTAAATATACATAATCATTGAAAAATGAAACACTGCAAATACATTTGTATGTTTGATACTTGAGCATCCTATCATTTTTTTAAATAAAAATGAATTAATTTACCATATTTGAATAAGTCAAAAAGAGAAAAACAAAGTGTAGTGCATGTTTAAAAAAGACAAATAAATGTTTGTGTTTGCTCACTACTGATAACTTTGAGGAAATGATCATTCAGAAACATAAAGCAATCCAAAATACGAATCAAGATTAACGTAAATGTAATTTTTAAAATAATTCAGATAATGAAGAGAGCAGAACTAGCCACTTAGCTCTCTGTATATAGTGCATATAACTAAATATATCACAACTTAACAGGCGTTCTTTCTGAGATATTGCTATTGACTTTAAATGATCACGTTAGTTAAATGTTAAAATACCTTTTTAGAAAGCAGGCAATTCATCTAACTTGTCATTTGACTTGGATCTGGGACAAATTTCCTGTGTGAGATTGATCAGCATGTCTTCTTGCTCTCAGATTTCCTTATTATAATTATAAATCTTTGTGCCTTATAAAAGTTCAGGGTATTATGCTGGTGCCATCTCTGGTTTCTCAGAGACTTTCAACAACCAGCCTCGTTCTGGGACATGATAGGCATTGCTGCAAAATCAGGAATTCTTCAAGGAGAATAAATGTCTGCTGTGTTGAATTTTATGCTAGGTTCCCCAAGATCTGCACCTTTAACCCTCCCAGTATTTACCAGTGTTTAACACACAGTTGGTCCCAGGCAAATGCTGGTGCACTGACTTGATTGTTAGAGATAATCTTCCTAATGCTATATTCTATCCAGTCTCTCTAAACCCAGCTCCTTGTTCTGCTGTGAGGAGCAGCACCTGTCTTCCTTTGCCTGGGTGACTCAGAGATGCCCACTCCATCTTCATCTCTGGACTCACCACAAGTAATTACTTAGTACTTCCCACCAACTGCAGAGCAATTTACTTAATTGGAATGTTTTCACACTTTTTCATCCCTGATAATCAACCTGCACAGATGAAAAAATTAGCTAGGGAATCACTATTATTAAATCAGTGATCTAAGTGCTTTTGTTATTCTAACTGAAAATTGTAATCATTTGTTTGTTTGACATATTTACTATCTGACCATCAGACAGATTCACTTATTTTGTCCATTTTAACTATGACCAAATATATATTTTTTCACATAAGAATCTGTGAGCATTAAACTGGGTGATCCATATTACCTTATCCCTGAATATTAGATATTGGATATGCACATACAAATGGTTATGATTGTTATGATTAGTGTGCTATCATGGAAAATAGTTCATAGTCTTGATAGTCTGAGAATTGCTATGATAATAGTTTCAAAAACATTTAGGATACTTGTTCCCTATTTTTAATTTTAGTTTTTAGCAACAAAAATCATTTGAAAAGCAAACAAAATTATTTCACCATATTTTTACACTTGTAATCATGTATAATACGTTCTAAGAAAAAGCCATCTCTACCTATAAAATACTGCATAAGATGCAATTGTATATTCCTGTGTGTCTCTCACACAGATCCATCAATGAACAATATTGCCAGCATTGGGAATAAGAATACTGAATGAATCAGGCCTAGGTTGAGTATTTTCTGTGACTATGAGGCAGTCACATCCTCCTATTTGGTTAGGATCTACAGAGTAACTAGACTCAAAAGGTGCCACCTGCCTAGAATAATATTAGTATGAGATAATAAGACTTGCTCATAGCTTATCCGGCAGTGTGCTAGAAATTTTCTGTCTATGAATTTGTAAAACAGCAGCAACAACATGAGGCACATGGAAGTTCAATGTCCTATGGTCAAAGCTGAGCTCTGGAAACCGCCTTCGCACAAATTCTAACAGTGAAATTGAAACCGCCTTTGCACAAATTCTAACAGTGACAAAATTATGGCAATGGGGAGACCTGATCTAGTTAACCCCATTCTTGCCCTTGACCTTCAAGTTGCCCTTAATCATTCCTGAGCTTGGGCAAGCCAACCGTGAGAGACATCTAGTTTATAGTTTAAATGATAATAGCCCTTCCCCAAAACTAAAGCTAATGAGAGACCACCAGGCTAGGAGAATAGAGGAGCCTAAATTCTGCTAAGATACAGACATAAATGATTGCTAGCCATTTGTTCAGAGGTCACGAGATATGCAACTTCCTCATGAATTCCAGCAGATAACATCAGTATTGTAGAATCTAAGATTAGCCTTTTGAGATATCCAGGTTTTTTGCATGTTTGACTACCCATGGCTCCACTGGACCTGCCAACAGCTCCCGTAGCTCCACCCATAAGTAACTCAGCATGCAGAAGAATCATTTCCCACACCCCTATGATTACACCCCCAACCAATCAGCGGCAAGCACCCATTTCCTAGCCACTCCCAGCCCTTCCCCTAAACTACCTTTGAAAAATCCCTAATCTATGAGCCTTCGATGAGACTGACTTGAACAATAACTTCATCTCTAATGTGGTGTGGCCGACCTTGAGTTAATTTAAACTCTTTACAGCAAATACCATGTTTTTTGTTTTGTTTTGTTTTGTTTGCAGATGACATGATTGTATATTTAGAAAACCCCATTGTCTCAGCCCAAAATCTCCTTAAGCTGATAAACAACTTCAGCAAAGTCTCAGGATACAAAATCAATGTACAAAAATCACAAGCATTCTTATACACCAATAACAGACAAACAGAGAGCCAAATCATGAGTGAACTCCCATTCACAATTGCTTCAAAGAGTATAAAATACCTAGGAATCCAACTTACAAGGGATGTGAAGGACCTCTTCAAGGAGAACTACAAACCACTGCTCAACCAAATAAAAGAGGACACAAACAAATGGAAGAACATTCCATGCTCATGGATAAGAAGAATCAATATCGTGAAAATGGCCATACTGCCCAAGGTAATTTATAGATTCAATGGCATCCCCATCCAGCTACCAATGACTTTCTTCACAGAATTGGAAAAAACTACTTTAAAGTTCATCTGGAACCAAAAAAGAGCCCTCATTGATAAGACAATACTAAGCCAAAAGAACAAAGCTGGAGGCATCACGCTACCTGACTTCAAACTATACTACAAGGCTACAGTAACCAAAACAGCATGGTACTGGTACCAAAACAGAGATATAGACCAATGGAACAGAACAGAGCCCTCAGAAATAATGCCACATATCTACAACCATCTGATCTTTGACATACCTGACAAAAACAAGAAATGGGGAAAGGATTCCCTATTTAATAAATGGTGCTGGGAAAACTGGCTAGCCATATGTAGAAAGCTGAAACTGGATCCCTTCCTTACATCTTATATAAAAATTAATGCAAGATAGATTAAAGACTTAAATGTTAGACCTAAAACCATAAAAACCTTAGAAGAAAACCTAGGCAATACCACTCAGGACATAGGCGTGGGCAAGAACTTCATGTCTAAAACACCAAAAGCAATGGCAACTAAAGCCAAAATTGACAAATGGGATCTAATTAAACTAAAGAGCTTCTGCATAGTAAAAGAAACTACCATCAGAGTGAACAGGCAACCTACAGAATGGGAGAAAATTTTTGCAATCTACCCATCTGACAAAGGGCTAATATCCAGAATCTACAAAGAATTTAAACAAATTTACAAGAAAGAATCAAACAACCCCATCAGAAAGTGGGCAAAGGATATGAACAGACACTTCTCAAAAGAAGACATTTATGCAGCCAACAGACACATGAAAAAATGCCCATCATCACTGGCCATCAGAGAAATGCAAATCAAAACCACAATGAGATAACATCTCACGCCAGTTAGAATGGTGATCATTAAAAAGTCAGGAAACAACAGGTGCTGGAGAGGATGTGGAGAAATAGGACCACTTTTACACTGTTGGTGGGACTGTAAACTAGTTCAACCATTGTGGAAGACAGTGTGGCGATTCCTCAAGGATCTAGAACCAGAAATACCATTTGACCCAGTCATCCCATTACTGGGTATATACCCAGAGGATTATAAATCATGCTTCTATAAAGACACATGCACGTGTGTTTATTGCGACACTATTCGCAATAGCAAAGACTTGGAACCAACCCAAATGTCCATCAATGACAGAATGGATTAAGAAAATGTGGCACATATACACCATGGAATACAATGCAGCCATAAAAAATGATGAGTTCATGTCCTTTGTAGGGACATGGATGAAGCTGGAAACCATCATTCTGGGCAAACTATCGCAAGGACAGAAAACCAACCACCACATGTTCTCACTCATAGGTGGGAACTGAACAATGAGAACACTTGGACACAGGATGGGGAACATCACACACTGGGGCCTGTCGTGGGGTGGTGGGAGGAGGGATAGGATTAGGAGATATACCTGATGTAAATGAGGAGTTAATGGGTGCAGCACACCAACATGGCACATGTATACATATGTAACAAACCTGCACGTTGTACACATGTACCCTAGAACTTAAAGTATATAAAAAAAAAAGATCTGCATAGTTTTGGATGGTATATATTTAACATGATCTTCCTGTTCTAGATAGATAAACCTCTAGATATTAGAGAGTTGTCAATTTTCACTCTTATAAACAATGCTGCAACCCTGTAAATATGAGTAAGATTTACGCTTACTTATCTCTATTTCAGAATAACTTTCTAGGGATATAGTACACTCAGCAGCCCTCCATATCCATGGGTTCTGCACTCATGAATCCAACTGTGATTAAGAATAGTAGGGAAAAAATGGATGGCTGTGACTTTGTTGAACATGCACAACCATTTTTTTCTTGCCATTATTCTTTAAACAATATAGTATAACGACTATTTTTACAGCATTTGCATCGTATTATTAGTAATCTGGAGATGATTTAAGTATACAGGAGGCTGTACAAAGGTTACATACAAAACTACACCATTTTATATAAGGGACTTGGGCATCCATGAATGTTGGTATCTTTGGGGGTGGGGGGCTCCTGGAATGAATCTCCCGCAGATATCCAGGGATGACTGTATTTCTAGTCCACAAGGTTGCTCATCATTGAGTAACTTCTTTTTACCTGCACATGGAGGTGTATTTTAAGTGTCCATTCAAATCAGTGATTGATGAGAATACACAGTGTATTTTTCCTCTAGGCCACAGAAACTAATTTCTGAAATGAAATTTTTTTAACTAATTGACTTTTTGCTAGTTTTTGAATAGCCCAAAGAAAATGGGATTATATTCTCAAATTCAAATCATCATCATCATCATCATCATCATCATCATCATCATAGCTTATGTTTTTGAGCACTTCCCACATACTTCCTTAAGCCCTTTGCTCAGAGATGGTCAGTATTTCATTGTCAT
This sequence comes from Homo sapiens, assembly GCF_000001405.40. Lineage (NCBI taxonomy): Eukaryota > Metazoa > Chordata > Mammalia > Primates > Hominidae > Homo > Homo sapiens. Next base: position 39,205,081 of record NC_000009.12, read on the forward strand.
AATAACCATAATCACCTTCACCCAAATTTGTCTGAAATGCACAACTGATTCCCAAGTTTATATAGAAATATTGATATTTTCTTTTTTTCTTTTTTTTTTTTTTTTGAGACAGTCTCGCTCTTTGCCCAGGTTGGAGTGCAGTGGTGGGATCTCAGCTCACTGCAACCTCCGCCTCCTGGGTTCAAGAGATTCTCCTGCCTTAGCCTCTCGAGTAGCTGGGATTATAGATGCCTGCCACCACGCCCAGCTAATTTTTGTATTTTTAGTAGAGACTGGGTTTCACCATGTTGGCCAGGCTGGTCTGGAACTACTAAGTTCAGATGATCCACCTGCCTTGGCCTCCCAAAGTGCTGCGATTACAGGCATGAGCCACTGCACCTGACCCTGATTTTCATTACTTTTCTTTCAGATTAGTTTATAGATTTTTAGATTTGAGGCTTAGAAGAAAATTCCTTAGTTTAGTATAGTAGAACTATTTTCCTGTATTTTATTTAAAGCTTAATAATACAAATTTTAGAAGTGCAAATATATTTTATTATATTCTTTATCTCTTTATCTTTTTTATTTGTAAGATAAAAGTAAAGATTTATCTCACAAATAAATGTTTATAAAAAATGAGATAGCAAAAGCAATTATTTTAGCCTGCCTAGGAGATTTAAAAATTGGTTCCACAGATCTGTAAGAATAAACACAAACAATTTTCTATAGACAAATTTTAAAGTATAATTTGAAGTACATCAGAAATACAGTCGTCTCCCCTTATCTGCAGTTTTGCTCGCTTTCCATAGTTTCAATTACCCATGGTTAATCACAGCCTGAAAATATTAAATAGAAAATTTCAGAAATAAGCAGTTCATAAGTTTTAAATTGCTCACTATCCTGAGTAATGTGATGAAAACGCATGTCACCCTGCTCTGTCCTGCATGGGACGTGAATCATCCCTTTGTCCAGCATATCCATGCCCTATAAGCTACCCACCTATTAGTCACTTAAGTAGCCCTCTGGGTTATCAGGTGGGTTGTCATGGTATCACAGTGCTTGTGTTCAAATCACTCTTATTTCAATCAACAACGGCTCCAAAGTGCACAAGTAGTGATGCTGGCATATTGCTACAATTTTCTATTTTATTAGTGGTTCTTGTTGTTAATCTCTGTGCCTCATTTATAAAAGCAACTTCATCACAGGTGTGTATGTATAAGAAAAAAACATAGTACATATAGGGTTCAGCACTGTTTGCAGTTTCTGGCATCCACCAGGGATTTGGGGACTACTGCAGTCACTTTCTCCCAAAGTATCACCTCCATTTCTCACATCTGAGTTGTCACCATCAAAATACTCATTGTTTTGGGCCTACAAGCCTTTTAAAGTTCATTATTAAAGTTTAAATAGCCTTTTATGGGGATTCTTATCAGTTAGTGCCTTTTTCATTCATTTGTCCAGGATGTTTATTAAACCAGAACACCGGCACTCCCTGGACTAGGAAACAAGGAGCGCGCAGGCTGGGGCCCAGAGACTTTACACGACTCCTGAGGACAACCGACTCAGACGGGGTCCGAAGAAATTCAGATCGGTGAACGGGTGAACCACACAGAGAACTAGAAAAGGCTACGTCGGCCCACTTCACCATTTTGCCCTGAGATGGTTCTGTGGACTTAACAAGAAAAGGAAAAGGATAAAGCCTGTGCCAGAAGAAGTGGTTCAGGAGGTAAGGGTTTCTAAGATTGTGTATGGCTTTACAATGTATAGCTCCCTCCTCCAAGTACATTTCAGAGACAAATCCTGAGCAATAAAAAACCTTGAGCAAGCTGAAAGCAATAAAAATGTACTGGAGTGTGATAAAAAGGACATTTTGCCAATTTATAATTACACTCGTAACATATAAGCTGTTTCATACTTTACAAGTTGCGCTTGCTAGGAGTCAGGTCTGTGGGTGTATGTAATCTTTCCTCTCTATACTTCTGCATAAGCCTATTTTTCTTCAAAATTTTATAGCTGTTTGTGTAGTGACTCCAAATAAAAACAGTGAAAATACACTGATTATTTTTCAACTCTAAATACCCATTTTAAGTATAGCTGAAGAATGAAAGGATATAATCCTCCTATTGGTCCCTTGTTGCTAAGAAGCATTTCCGTTGCAGATTTTGAGTATTACATTCATTGAAAAAGTCTTATGCATATTTTATGGCATAATTATTTTTATTGTGGTAAGAAACTTAACATGAAATCTATCATCTTAAACAATACAGTACCATTAACTATAGGCACAGTTTTGTACAGCAGATCGCTAGAACTTGTTTAACTGAAATTTATGCCGAAAGAGATAGCAAGTGTTGGCAAGGATGTGAAAAAAAGGAACCCCTTTTGCACCATTGGTGGGAATGTAAATGGTGCAGCTGCAATGGAAAACATTATGGCAAATCCTCAAAAGATTAAAAATAGAACTATCATATGATCCAGCAATCTTACTTTCGGGTATATACACCCCCCCAATATAAAATGAAGATGTTAAAGAAATATTGGCTCTCCTATGTTCACTGCAGCATTATCCACAACAGCCAAGATGTGGAAATAACCCAAATGTCCACTGATGAGTGGAATGGATAAACAAAATATGGTATAATTTTTAAAATCACAAACTGAGTTGGTCTAATGTCTTAAATTGGCATGTCATTTTCAGCTTGACATTCACACCTTGAAGATTCAGTTAAACACAGAATAGCAATCTGCATCTTTAATATCATCTCGGTGGGGCTCAGACTTTCCTGTCACTGAACTTTCTGTAGGTCCTCAGTGCTGTGAGGAGCTTAGAGGCCCAATAGCAACCTGTCCTCTGGGATTCCGTCTTCCAAGTTGGAGCAACTGGGAGAACAACAGGGGCCACTGGAACTGTCCAACAGAGTCCTGCAGCTGCAGGACAGCCATGGGGTAGATGGAGGACAGTCAGAATTCTCTGCTGCTTTCATTTCCCACAGAGCTGTTGTCCCCGTCTTCCTCCCCACAGTCAGTGCTGTGGGCTCACTTTGCAAACCACACAAGGACCGGCCTGTGAGAAACTTCCAGTAGAAAATGCTGCCACCCTGAGAAACCAGGACTTTCCAGAATCTTTCTGTCCACATGTCACCTACTTATAAACTGAGGGAGGCAGTGCTGGATTCTGTGGTGAGGCAGGGTTGGGGGGAAGGGTTTTTAACTTGGAAGATCTAAATAAACCAGAGTTCAAGACCTGTCACAATTCCAAGTATGATGTAAATCACTCATCCCCCTTGAATTTCCCATCTTCCTTTTGCAAAATAGAGGTAATGGTGATTACTCCTAGGATCTTATCTGAGGGAAGATGTATAGATATCAGTAAACATAATGCACTGTGGAAAATTCAAATGATTTCCACTTCAAGTACACTTTGGGATGAAGCAAGGTTGAAAGAAAATAAGGAAGACAAGGTTTTGTTTTTGTTTCTTGGGTCTTGCTCTAATAAATTCACAAAGGAGTTTGAAAGGTGATAGCGGCTGGGTGTTTCATAGCCAACAGGCCTACACATACCACAGAAACCACACAGCAAAATGTAAATTTTAAAATATGTTCCCTTCTTTTTAACTTTCAGCAAGCTTAACAGATTTCAAAATTACACTAAAACTCTCCCAGAGTTAAATGTTGTTTTTCCACTCTGGAAAAGGGAAATTAGATTGAAAAATAGAATATTAAAAAATAGGTAATAATGGAAGAAAATGCATTGGGTGGGGGCCTCTAACTACATACACTTTGGAAAAGGAAGATGTTTTCCTACTCTGTCTTTCTCGAAGAGTTGCGTCTGGTCCTACTCAAGTCTGCAGAGGGTCAGTTTCCTGTTCACTTGCTCACAGCAGCTTGCAGTCCTTCTCAGTCCCAACTTCTAATTTTATTCATTTTCACCCCAATGTAGAATTTGTTTCTCACAGTACTCATCAACGTAAGCCACGGTTCAGTCTTCCTGATATTTTATTGTGCAATGTATATTAAATACTGTATTACATTTTAAAATACGAGTTATGAGATGTTAGTCACATTCATTAATCTGCATGTGAAAGTACAACTAAAATGTGGGCACGGTGAGTCCCTGGGGCCGCAGTTCTCAGGGTTTATCGAGCACATGATTTCTTTCAAGGTGAATGTGATTTAACTTAAAAAATTTTGCTGTTTTTATAAAGGACAATCAGACTTCTCTGTATTATTTGGCATCGCTGCAGGGTTCAGACTTTGAATGAAGGCAGAAAATTAGCCTTCAGCATACAAAGTAAAGTGTCAATAATAAGAAGTAAGTGGTCACTAAAGCTAAAATCAGGAGGAAAAAAGCAGAAAGCAAAACCAAAGCAAATTCAATCCCAAAGCAAGTTTAAATGGGAAAATAAATTAAAAATTAAATTTTAAAATGACATAGCAAATTATAAATAGAAAGAAATGAGTCTAGTCGAGTTCTGCAGCCTCCAGCCTGGAGAAGGGTGGGGTGAGATGAAAACATTCAGACTTCCTTCCTTCCCTTCCTTCCCTCCCTCCCTCCCTCCCTCCCCCACTCCCCTCTCCCACTCCTCCCTTCTCCCTCCCCCTTCCCCCCTCCCCCCTTCTGCCCCTTCCTCCCTTCCTTCCTTCCTTCCTTCCTTCTGGTGTGAACTGCACCAGCACCCTGCCCCTCGCCCCTCTCACCTGCATCTCCTTTTCATCCTTTCTCCCTCTCTCAGTTGGTTCTCTGTTTGTGATAGTGTTTTAGGACCAACCACTTGGGTTCAGATTTCTTCAGAGGACAAAATGCCAGAGGGACTAGAAAGGAGGAGGGGGTTCCTATGACTCAGAGGGAAAAGAACTTGGGCCTGGAACTAAGTCTCCTGCCCCTTCTGCATGAAAGTGCCCTGGAGTCCTCAGCTGAGCAAATCCATATTCCTTTAAAAGGCAGGAAATGCATTTTGCCCAGCACTAAACTCGTCCTCACTGATAAATTCCAAACCTGAGGGGGAACAGCTGTGCCTGATCATCGCCCTCACTCCCACCAGGGAGACAGAATCCATAGAATCCACAGCGTGCCAAACAGTTTGGGATTAATGTTTCTGTGTGGAACCCTGAAGAGAGACACGTTCTGGGCTGGGATGGCAGCAAAACCACATCACTCCAGAATTCCAATCAGAGACCCGAGAGCAGCCATTCCCCCAGGCCTCTCATCCCTGTCATCCCCGGACATGTCCTCAAATCGTATGCCGTTGATCCTCAGGTCAATCTGTCCTTTTCCGGGCTCTCTACACTCCCATCCGCCCATGCACTCCCCACTACTCTTCTTCCTTCCCCACAGTTTTTTTTCTGTGCACTCTTTGACCCTCATAAAGAAGGGAAGGGAAAAGGAGGGGAGGGGAAGGGAAGGGAGGGAAGGGAAAAAGAAAGAAGAGAGGGAAGGGGGATGAGGTTGAGGGGAGGAAAGAAGGAAGAAAAAAGACTACTTTAATCTTATCTGAGAATATTCTGGTGTAGCCTAGAAATTGAGACTGGCTCCCCAGGTGGGCAGCCCAAGGTTTCTGGTACAGGCTCTGCTTGTGTGACATGAGCTCATTACTGAGCCTCTCTAAAGTTGTATTTCTTCATCCCAAGTTAATGATGAAAAAGTAAATAATAGAATGCAGCTAAAATTCTAAAAATCTCACCTGGTACACAATAAATACTCAGTTATATTGGGTGTCAGACACTGATCTACACCTTGATTAAAACTCAGGTCTTTCTTTTGGACACCCCTGCCCTTGTAACACTCAGGAATGCAGTTTCCTCATTTCCCCTCATCTTATTTGTGGTGGGGTCTGGACACATTTTCACCGATCTCCTTTGATTTCATAACATTGCACTTCCTCACAAAAGTAACTGAACACACACAACGAGAAAGTTATCTCTTCTCTTAAATGCCATTTGACTATAGCTCCCTCTACCCTTCCTGGCCATTGTAATTCATTTTCTAAACTCTGAGTCATTCCCTTACACTTATCACCATCTTCTCTATCCCAAAGCCACAATATGAACATCCTTGAGGAATACCAATAAGATCCTTTGACTTCAAGTTCCCTGATGCAAATGAGCTCCAGCTGCTTCACTTCAGCCTCATTCCCACGGCCAACCTCATCACCACCTGGGATGGGGGCACCATCTTTGAAATCTTATTTAAACTCTGTGTTGACTGTACACCTCTAGATAGTCCCAGATCTCTCACTCCCACACTATAGCTTCTTTGACATGCTGACTCTTTCTGATTTTCGTTATCAGCCTCTCTTGATCTAACTGTCCTCTCCACATTGCCCAAACAGCATGGTACCTTTTTTTCCAGACTCTTTTGCCAATTTGTTAGCATTTATGTAGCCAAATCCTCAATGTCAGCATGTCAGCATACCTGCAGATGCTAATTCTAGGTCAGTCTTCTCAGTTGCCTTCTCAGGTTCTGCAAACAGCTGACTATTGCTGGGGAAAACCCCCCAGCTGTGCGGGTGGGGTCCCTATTCATGGTCTCCATCCTGGGGTCTGTATGCTACGAGGACAATGGTCCTTAGCCTTGAATGAATATGGGAATCATCAGGTGGATTCTTTAACATACTGCTTAGTTCCTACTCTCTTGAGGTTTGGATTTAAGTGGTCTGGGCAGTGGTCTGGGCAGGTGTTTCCAGTGTAGAAATGTACTATTACTAGGGACTCTTGTTGTTCCCTGTCAAAATCTTTTTCCATTCCACATCCTCTACTACACACACATAAACATTTCCTACCTTAATTCCACTTTTCCCTTATCATTTTTTTGTTTGTTTGTTTGTTTTTGAGACAGGCTCTTGCTTTGTCACCCAGGCTGGAGTGCACTGGCTCGATCACAGCTCATTGCAGCCTCGATCTTCCAGACTCAAGCAATCTTCCTTAGTTTTCCGAGTAGTTGGGACTACAGGCACACACCACTACAACTAGGTAATTTTTGTATTTTTTTGTAGAGACAGGGGTCTCACTGTGTTGCCCAGGCTGGTCTCAGACTCCTGCACTCAAGGGATCTGCCTGCCTCAGCCTACCAAAGTGTTGGGATTACAGGTATGAGCCACAGCACCGGATCCTTCATCACTCATATCACAGAGCTTGAATCTTCTGAACATCAAGTAGATAAGAACAGCCATAAACTCCCTTTCAGAAATTTAAAATAAAGCATATATAATTAGCTATTTTCCTCCTGTTTCAGAAAACATCATTGTTTTTCAGTGTCTTCTGTGTTCTGGATCCTTTTCCCTGCCATCCCTCTGGGACGTTGCCCCTCAGCTACTCTGTGAGTTTCTTCTGTCTCCAAGCTGTTGATGGGCATGGGAGTTCCACCAGCATCCCTGGCAGTGACCAGGCTCTAGTCGCTCTAGCTTCCACTTCACACTGTCCCCTGCCCGTGTATGTCCCTCTTGCTACTGCTGTCCCACTCTCTTTTTCTAAGCATCCCGACTTCTACAGAAAGTATTCATCATTTGCTCTCTCCTTTTCATTAACTCATTTCCTCTCCTCAGTCTTCTGCAATCAGGCATCTACTCTTATCCATTCATCAATTTACTGATGAACTCAGATCTATCACTAATTTATACAGATTATTTTGTTTTCATTTTCACAATAATCCTATAACGTATGTTCTATAATAACACCTATTATATAGATGAAGAAACAAGGTACAAAGTGGTTAATCAGCTAATCCAAGTTCATACAGCTAGCAAACAGTGAACCCAGTATTTGAACCCAACTGATTTGACTCAAACTCTGCATTCTTACCTACGTCCTGCTTTGTCTTCCAATTCACCTGACATTTGCTTGCTCTGATGACAAAACTCTGCCCTACCTGATTTGACATTCCTAGCATTCAAGTCAGTCTTGGGTTAAATAGCTGAAGTGGGACTATTATTTCCAGACTCCACTGTTAAAATGCACAAAGAAGCCAGAACAGAGGGAGTGTGCTGATGGTTTTCACTAATTATTTTCCTCTACCACATTAGCTTGGGTACCAGATCCAGCCACGTTTTTGGTGCCACAACCCAAGGAGCTGGAGGGTAAGGATCCACAGAGGGGAAGGGATAGAGGAGATGAGAGGAAGGAGAGGAAAGGAGAGGAGAGAAGAGAAGAGAAGAGAAGAGAAGAGAAGAGAGAAAGGGTGAGGATGACCAGCTCAGTACCCAGTGTTCTGCAGCTCTGGAAGGTAGGCCTGCCTTGATCTAAGATGTGATCCTACAGGACCTCTGGCAACCAGAAGCTCCAAACAATGCCCAAAGCAGGTAACATGAAAAAAGATTTGGGAAGGATAAGAAATGCATATTCCTGAACCTGAACTCAGAGGTAGCTACAGCTTACTCTGCCCGGTCACAGCACACAAATGCAGTTTCCTTTCAGAAATAATTTTCGCAAAAGATTTTGTGTCATAGCTTAAGGAATTTAGCTCAGATGAAGAAAAAAAATCTTAGTATTAAGATTCTAAATAGAACAATAAAAGAAACCCATAGTACAAATTAATGAGATGTGATAGGGCTAATTTCTCTGTTTAGAGATGTTTTAACTGTGACTTGACAATACTGACATGCAAGCTCTTCAGGAGAACCTAGTTTTCATTTGAGCTTGCTTAATTAATTACCGAAGTAATGAATTTATTCTGATTCAAGGGTAGACAACTGATTGTTAATGTAAATTTATTGGCCGTTTAACTTTTTTTATTATTTTGGAGAAGCAAGGGTGGAAAAAATACCACCAGAGTAAATTTACATTGTGTTCTTGGGATATTTTTCAGTAATTTTTGCAAACTTCCTTACAATAAATAGAAGCCATTCCTAAACCTGAATTTATTTTTCCTTTCAGTCAGAAGTTTAGCTAATAAAACTTTTGCCAGAGTGTAGCACAATAGCTCCCCTGGGAACTCTTTCAACTGTGTAATTTTTTCTCTCTCTTGTAAAAAGAATGACATGGTGTCTTTAAAATGTTCAAGGCTCTGAAAGAAAGACAAGCCATTTGATATGAATGATTAATAAGGACATTAAGGAATACAAAATAAGAGGAGTTTAAATATAAAAAAAATTCTCATTTTCAGAATGCAGATCAAATCTGACTTCTCTTCTATTTTTTCTGTTTCACAGACAAAATCCTGACTGAGGTTAAGTGCTAATGTTTTTAATGCCCATCTTTTATTCTCATGCTTGACACCAATCGGCTACTTCAGAACTAGTGTCTTGACACTTGAATCTTTTCCACAGCACCAAAGGTTATTCCACAAGGACATCTGCGAAAGGAAGAATATATTTCTAACGCAATAAACAAAGGATTTTATGCAAAGCCTATTTAGACAGGAAATGGAAACCCGGATGGCAGAGAAGCCATGTTGTTCAGGTCCTGCTATTTATGAGGGTGAGTTTTCCTTGAGAAACGCATGTCTCTTTATAAGCAGAAACCTCTGTAAGGTAATCCAGCAGTGACGGAATGAGATATAATATTACGTTTTAATCAAAAAGAGAGTCATTAAGAATATGGCATTATTATTTATATTTATTCTTATCCATATTATTTTTTAAAGTATTAGGAAAATATTCATTGTGGAGATGATTTAAGAATCTATCCATATGAGGAAATAAGGTATTACCTGAAAGGGGTCCCGATCCAGATCCCAAAAAAGGGTTCTTGGACCTTGTGCAAGAAACAAATTGGGACAAGTCCAGAAAGTGAAAGCAAGTTTATTAAGAAAGTAAAGGAATGAAAGAATGGCTACTCCAGAGGCAGAGCAGCAGCATGGGCTGCTCAAATAAATATAGTTATTTCTTTATTATATGCTAAACAAGGGGTGGATTATTCATGAGTGTTCCAAGAAAGGGGCAGGCAATTCCCAGAACTGAGGGTTCCTCCCCACTTTAGACCACATGGCATAACTTCTGGACGTTGCCATGGCATTTGTAAACTGTCATGGCGCTTGTAAACTGTCATGGCGCTGGTGGAAGTGTCTTTTAGCATGCTAATGAATTATAATTAACTTATACTGAGCAATAAGGATGACCAGAGGTCACTCTCATAGCCTTCTTGGTTTTGGTGGGATTTGGCCAGCTTCTTTACCGTATCCTGTTTTATCAGCAAGGTATTTGTGACCTGTATCTTACGCCGACCTCTTGTCTCATCCTGTGACTAAGAATACCTTAACCTCCTAGGAATGGAGCCCAACAGGTCTCAGCCTCAGTATTCCCAGCCCCTATGCAAGATGGTTCAAATGCTTCTGATAAAGGGACTCATATATTAGGAATTCACAATCTGAAATGAGCAATAATATTCTGAATGTAAAGATAGCCTAAATGACATGTTTTAGCCAGTGGCATATAAAATTAGATTTGTCATGAATTGATGTCATACGTATAATTTGGGGGAAAGGCCAGCATAGAATAATTGTAAGATAGAATGGAAAATAACTGAGTTTCAAATACTGGCAGGCAAAGAGTAGGCAAGCCATTGTAGCTCATGGTAATTCAGAAAGGCATCTGGAAATGGAGCCATCTCAGAAGTCGTTTACATGACAGAAGAGAAATTAGTAAATATTTCTGAGGTGGAGACCAGTCGGCAAACACATGGCTTTACTCTTGGTCAAAGGACCTAATTCAGAGGTGATGAGATGACAAACGTTTGGGGGTGATACCTGACACCAAAGGAAAGCAAGAACTGGAGAAATGGTCATGAGAGTAAAGATGCAAAACTCTAGTGACTGACTAGTAGCAGCAACTTAGAAACCGAGTCAGCAGCTGAAATGCAAAAGGAAGCCATCCTAGAAGAAAGCCGGGTTAAAGTCGCAGACAGAGTGGGCTGCTCCAACAGCAAAGCCATATATTTTGAGACAGCGATGCGCTGCCTTTCTTCACAAGGTTTACCCAGCACACCCACCCAAACCATGGCAGACTTGTATTGATGCATTTTCCCCTTCCAAATGGATCCCCTGTGAGAACTCTGGGAGTCTATCAACACAAAGGTTGATGAGAAAGTAGAGGACTGAGCAAAGCCAACTTACTTTGAACTTCAATACTACTTTAGAGCACAATAAAATATTAAGATTTACATCATCCTGCTTCCTTATTGTAGATTACCCATTGTTCAGTCTACTTTGGGATTTCTTCATTGTAGCTTGTTGCAGCACTTCTGTGCGTGTGTGTGTGTGTGTGTGTTTGCATGAGAAATAGTTACACCATGTGAATTTAAAAATGAGGAGAACTTAGATAGGAACTTGTTAGTCTCAACTGCAGCTGCCCCTGTGGAAAACTGGTGTTGCCCTCCCTTTACAGTTTTGCTGCAGAAATGGGTGATTTTAAACCTGAAAGTCAAAGTATATTTATTAGCTTGATCATATGAAATTGCTGTTTTTGTAGGTCAAGATACTTAGATATCAGCACATTCACAAGGTTCAGCCTTATAGTGCGTGACTGGATTCCACATCCACCCTGCATTTTGTAATCGAAGGGGAGGAAGCTCACAGGTGTTGAGCACCTTGTGCTTGGCCAGGTGTTTGTTAGGGGCTATTTTAGAAACAGCACTCAGTTAGTTACTCTTAGCCAGGTGCTGTCTGCACCACATCACGTGATGGTCAAGGACTGATGACCCAGGCCATGAATAAGTATCATTCATTCAACATTAAACACGAGAAAAAAAGATTCATTAATTTAAAAAACACCACTAAAATAAATATTACAATTAGAATTTGAAGGCTCCTATTTCTTTCCATTGGGTTATATCCACTAATAAATGTTACAAAGTTAGGATGACACTTAACTTGAGATACAGTTTTGTAGCCGTTGTTTTTTTTTAATCTAATAAGCTCCTTCTGTGCTATACCAAATGACCTCCCTAGCTGGGACTCCTCCTGACATCCAGGCTGTTCCTTCGCATTTGAAAGCCCACGAAAGTCTTTCTTCTTACCAGTACACTGATACCCACACATCCCAGCCACTGCCCTTCACTCTCACATCAAGATAAGGTCTTGATGTTCACTTTCAGGTTTTATATCAGTATACTGAGCATTAGCGATTGGCTTTCATCCTGGAGAAATTTCAATGGGAAAAAGAATTGCATTAAAATCACTACTTATTATTATTTTTTACGTTTATTTCAATTTGTTTTTAATTGAAAAGCCATACGATTCACATAGTTCAAACCACATCTGCATCCATTTTATATTTTTATCCCATTCCCATTACCCAGAGGGGAAAAATGCTATGATTTTTCTTATTTTTCTTATGTGTCCTTCTAGAAATATTTCATATTTACATGAGTATATATATATATATATATATATATATATATATATATATATATTCATTGTGGGAATTTCAAATGGGAGAATATCTTACCTTATTCTTTGATTTTAGAAAAATATCTTGGAAGTTCATTCACAGTAAGTATGTTTACCTCATTATTTCTCAAGGCTGCATGCTATTCCAGAGTATAAATGTACCATGACCACTGAAAGAGAACTGTACTAACATATTTACCATTATATTCATAAAATGTTAATCTCTTCATGCACATATGCATATATTACACTATGACTGTGGGATAAATTCCTAGAAGTAGCATTGCTGCTTAATGTAAACTATACATTGAGAGAAACTGAAAGCATCACTCTTTTTGCATTACCTCCATTCACTACACTGCAAGTTGATCATTTTTTGGAACTTTAATTTTATAGATAGTGCCAAATGGTTCTTCAAGAAATCATATTCATAAAAAGGCACCAGTTCCTGAAATTGAATCATCTGAGTTTTACCTTTTCATGTGCACACATGAAACAGACCTAAAACATTCCCAGATGTGGTGAGGGGTTGTGAGTAAAGATTCTGCAGCCAGGCCACTTGGGTTCAAATTATTGTGCTACCACTAACTAGCTCTATAATTGGGGCAAATAAATAAAGCCTGTCTTTTTGCTTTCCTTGTTTTCATCTGGGAAGAATATTAGTATCTAGCTCATAGAGTTCTGCGAGGATTTTAATATATACAAAGCACAAAGAATCATGTTTGGTGCACAGTAAGCACTCAAGATACATAATGTCTTCATACTTAAATTTATTCTTAAAACTGATTATTTTTAACCTGAGCCTTATGCTGAGCAATGATATCCATAATATTGCATGTTTGCATACTATTTAGATTTTAAGAGACTTTAAATTTAATGCATTAACTATGAAAGTACAGTTGAAAGTAATGTCCTAAGCAACACAGCCTCAGTAAATGTTTTAGTTGTTCTAATCAATTGAGTAGTACCTCACTGCTGTTTTAATTTGCATTTCTTTAACTTATAAACAAGGTTGAATATTATCTCATGAATTTATTATTATTATTATTATTATTATTATTATTATTATTTGAGACGGAGTCTTGCTCTGTCGCCCAGGCTGGAGTGCAGTGACGCAATCTCGGCTCACTGCAAGCTCCACCTCCCGGGTTCACAGCATTCTCCTGCCTCAGCCTCCTGAGTAGCTGGGACTACAGGCACCCGCCACCACACCTGGCTAATTTTTTGTATTTTTAGTAGAGATGGGGTTTCACCGGGTTAGCCAGGATGGTCTCGATCTCCTAACCTCGTGATATGCCCACCTCGGCCTTCCAAAGTGCTGGAATTACGGATGTGAGCCACCGTGCCAAGCATTATCTCATAAATTTATAAACTATTTTTTCTTCATGTGGAATGCTTATCAATCCTTCTCAATTTTACATTGCTTTTTTTTAATCTTTATCCATTGATGTATAAGAGCACTTTATAAAAAAACTATCATGTATATTAAAATATTATTTCCCATTCATAAATTGATATCTTCTGGTAAGTTTCAAATAATTTCATTTATTAGTCCCTTTACTGTGGTCTTGGTTTTACATCTTGCATAGAAATACATGCCCGCTCCCACATTATATATGCAAACCTCTCCCACAATCTTCTAGAACTGTTTCTGTGGCTACTTTAAAATCTTTAATTCACCTACAATCTACTTTGATGCAAGGAATAGGGTAATAGTCCAGTTTTATTAATTTTTTCCTGAGGGATACCTAGTTTCCCCAGTACCATTTATTAATTTTTTTCTTACTAATTTAAAATGCCACATCTTTTATCAGCATATATATTTGAATTTGTTAGTGAATACTATTTTTTCCACTGCTATTAATATCAAGCATACTAAAATATAGAATCAACCTTTATTATGTACTTTTTTTTTTTTTGAGACAGACTCTCACTCACTCTGTCACTCAGCCTAGAGTGCAGTGGCGCAATCTTGTCTCACTGCAAACTCCACCTCCAGGGTTCAAGAGATTCTCCTGCCTCAGCATACCAAGTAGCTGGAATTACAGGAGCACGCCACCACACCCAGCTAATTTCTGTATTTTTAGTAGAGACAGGGTTTCACCACGTCAGCTAGGCTGCTCTCGAACTCCTGTCCTCAGGTGATCTGCCCAACTCAGCCTCTCAAAGTGCTGGAATTACAGGCGTGAGCCACCGCGTCCAGCCTCTAGGTATTTTTCTAATTGGTAAGACTAACTCCTTTTTCAATTTCTTGTTGCCAATTGTACTGCTTATCCTTTTATGAAAATTAATTTTTTTAAATGTGACGAATAAAATATGTATGCATTATGTACAACTTGATGTTTTGAAACATGCATACATAATTGAATGAGTACATCAAGCTAATTAAATATGCATTACCTCACATACTTATTTTTGTGGTGAGAAAACTAAAAATCTATTCTCAGCAATTTTCAAGAACACAGTACTTTGTTATTAACTATAGTCACCATTTTGTGCAATAGATATCTTGAACTTATTCCTCCTACATAACTGAAATTTTGTATCCTTTGACCAACATCTCCCCAACTCCCAAACTCGCTAGTCCCTGGTAACAACTATTCCACCTTCTGCTTCTATGGGCTCAACATTTTTAGACTCCACATATAAGCTGGATCCTGTAGTATTGGTCTTTCTGTGCCTGACTTATTACACCGAACATAATGTCCTCCAGGTTCATCTATGTTCTCACAAATAAATAGGATTTCTTTTATTTTATGGCCAAATAGCATTCCATTGTGTATGTACACCACATTTTCCTTATCCATTCATCCACAGATGGACACTTCAGTTGATTCCAAATCTTGGCTATTATGAATAATACTGCAATGAACATGGTTGTACAGATATCTAAAAGACATACGGATTTAATTTCCTTTGGATACATACACAATAGTGGGATTGCTGAATCATTTGGTAATTCTATTTTTGATTTTTTGAGGAACCTCCCTACTGCTTTCCATAATGGATATACAAATTTACATTGCCACCAACAGTATACAGGGATCCTCTTTTCTTCATATCTTCATCGACACTTGTTATCTTTTGTCTTTTTGATAATAACCATTCTAACAAGTACGAGGTGATATCTCATTGTGGTTCTAACTTGCATTTCCCCGATGATTTGTGATATTGAGTATTTTTTCATATACCTGTTGGCCACGCATATATCTTTCTTGAGAAATGTCTTTTCAGGTCTTTTGCCCATTTTTAAAAAGCACAGTTATTTGTTTTCTTGCTATTGAGATGTTTGAGTTGCCTATGTATTTTAAATATTAACCCCTTATCAGATGTATTGTTTGAAAATATTTCCTCCGATCCCATAGGTTGTCTTTTTACTCTGCTGATTGTTTCCTATGTGGTGCAGAAAATTAGTTTGAAATAACCTAATCTGTCTAATTTTGCTTTTATTGCCAATGCTTTTGGGGTTGTATCCAGAAAATGATTTCCTAGACCAATATCATGGAGCTTTTCCCCTGTGTTTTCTCTTAGTAGTTTCACAGTTATGGGTCATAAGTTTAACTCTTTAACCCATTTTGTGTTGATTTTTGCATATAGTGTGAGATAAGGGTCTAATTTCATTCTGTTAAGCATGTATATCCCATTTACCCAATACCATTTACTGAAGAAACTAAACTTTCTTCATTGTGTATTCTTAGCACCTCTGTCAAAAATCAACAGACAATAAATGCCTGGATTTAGTTCTGGGCTCTCTATTGTGTTCCACTGGTCTATGTATGTGTCTGTTTTTATGTCAGTACCATGCTATTTTGATTGCTACAGCTTTGTAGTACATTTTGATGTCAGATAGTGTGATACCTCCAGCTTTGTTCTTTACGCTCAAGATTGC
Source organism: Homo sapiens (assembly GCF_000001405.40). Lineage (NCBI taxonomy): Eukaryota > Metazoa > Chordata > Mammalia > Primates > Hominidae > Homo > Homo sapiens. The sequence continues at coordinate 39,221,268 of NC_000009.12, forward strand.
TTTGGTTATTGGAGGTCCTTTGTGGTTACACACAAATTTTAGGATCATTTTCTCTATTTATGTGGAAAATGTCATTAGAATTTTCATAGGTAATGCACTGAATCTGTAGATCACCTTAGGTATTATGAATATTTTAATATTAATTCTTCCAATCCATGAACATGGGGATATCTTTCGATTCCTGTCATCTTTAAGTTCTTTCATCAATATTTTATAGTCTACTATAAAATTCTGTAAACCTCAGTGTACAACTCTTTCACCACCTTGGTTAAATTTATTCATAAGTATCTTATTGGATTATTTTCTTGATTTCAGACACTTCATTATTAGTATATAGACCACATAACTGATTTTTCTGTTGATGTTGTACTATAACTTTATTGAATTTATTTATTAGTTATTTGGGGTTATTTTCTTTTGAGAGTCTTGCTCTGTCATCCAGGCTGGAGTGCAGTGGCACTATCACAGCTCACTGCCGCCTGAACCTCCTGGGCTCAAGTGATCCTCCCACCTCAGCCTCCTGAGTATCTGGGACCACAGGCACATGCCACCATGCCCAGCTCGTTGTTTATTTTTTTGTAGAAATGGGGGTCTTGCCATGTTGTCCAGGTCTCAAACCACTGGAGTCAAGTGATCTTCCTACTTTGGCCTCCCAAAGTGCTGAGATTACAAGCATAAGCCATCATGCCTGGCCTGAAATTTATTCATTAGTTCTAATAATTTTTTGTTGAAGTCTTTAGGGCTTTCTATGTATAAGATCATGTCATCTGCAAAGAGGGACAATTTAAATTCTGTTTTCTTCAAATTTGGATGTTTTTTCCTTCTTTTTCTTGTCTAATTGCTCTGGATAGAACTTTCAGTACTGTGTTGAAAGAAGTGGTGAGAGTGGGCATCCTTGTCTTGTTTGGATCTCAGAGGAAGAGTTTTCAACTTTTCACCGCTGAATAAGATGTTAGCTGAGGGTTTGTCATATGTGACCTTTATTTTGTCGAGCTATATTGTCCTCTTTACACCCAATATGTTGAGAGATTTTAGAATAAAAGGTTGTTAGAGATTTTGTCAAATGCTTCTGCTGTGTCCATTGAGATAATCACATGTTTTTTGTCCTTTGTTCTATTAACATGATATGTTACATTTATAGATTTGCCTATATTGGACCATCAATTCATCCCACAGATAAATCTCACTTGATTATCATGAATGATCTTTCTAATATGCTGTTGAATTTGGTTTGCTAAAATTTCATAGAGTTTTTGCATTTATGCTCATGAGGATATTGGCCTATAATTGTCTTTTTTTGTAGTGTACTTTCTGAGTTTGGTATCAGGATAATGCTGGTTTTATAAAATGAGTTTGAAAGTATTCCCTTCTCTTCCATTTTTTGGAAGTGTTTGAGAATAATTAGTATTAGTTCTTTAAATGCCTCGTAAAATTCAGCAGTGAAGCCATCAGGGCCTAGGTCTTTATTTAATTAGAGCTTTTTACTACTGATTCAATTTTATTGCTTATTATTGGTTTGCTCAGATTTTCTTTTTTTTATGGTTCAGTTTTGGCAGGTTGTATATGTCCAGAAATTTATCCACTTCTAGGTTGTCCAATTTGTTGATGTATACTTATTCATAGTAGTCTGTTAAGATCCTTTGTATTTCTGTAATATTGGTTGTAATGTTGCCTCTTTCATTTCTGATTTTGAGACTTCTTTTTTCTTAAAGATTTGTCTATTTTGTTTATATGTTATATTTTTATATATATTTATATATTTTTAAAAACCTGACTTTTAGTTTTATGGATTTTTTAATTGTTTTTCTAGTCTGTATTTTATTTGTTTCTGCTCTGATCTTTATTATTTCTTTCCTTCTTTAACTTTGAGCTTAGTTTGTTCTTGTTATTCTAGTTCCTTGGGGTGTAATGTTTGGTTGTTTATTTGATATCTTTCTTCCTTGCTGATGTAGGCCATTATTGCTATAAACTTAGAATTGCTTTTGCTGTATCCCATGTGTCTTGATATGGCATGGGTCAATTTTTGTTTGTCTAAAGACATTTTAAAATTTCCCTTTAAATTTCTTCTTTGACCCACTGGTTGTTCAGGAGCATGTTGTTTCATTTCCATGTATTTCTGAATTTTTTTTCTTTTTTTTTTTTTTTTTTGAGACAGTCTCGCTCTGTCACCAGGCTGCAGTGCAGTGGCATGAGCTTGGCTCACTGCAATCTCTACCTCCTGGGCTCAAGCAATTCCCCTACCTCAGCCTCCCAAGTAGCTGGGACTGCAGGCGTGCACCACGCCCAGCTGATTTTTGTATTTTAGAAGAGATGGGGTTTCATCATGTTGTCCAGAATGGTCTCGATCTCCTGATCTCGTGATCTGCCCACCTTGGCCTCCCAAAGTGCTGGGATTACAGGCGTGAGCCACCACGCCCAGCCAAATTTTCCGAAATTCCTTCAGTTACTGATTTCTAGAATCATACCATTGTGGTCAGAAAGTATAACTGATACGATTTCAATCTCCTTAAATTTATTAAGACTTGTTTTGTGGCCTAACATATGATCTATCCTGGAGAATGTTCTCTGTGTGCTTTTGAAAAAGGTGTCTTCTGCTGCTGTTGGATGCAATGTTCAGTTTATGTCTGGTAGGTCCATTTGGTCTAACACATAGTTTAAGTCTAATTTTTCCTTACTGATTTTCTGTCTGGATGAGCTGTCTATTGCTGAAAATAGGATATAGAATTTCCCTCCTATTAAGTCCCCCTCCCTTCAGATCTGTTAGTATTTGCCTTATATATTCAGATATTCCATCATTTGGTGCACACATATTTACAAGTGTTACATTCTCTGGGTTAACTTATCCCGTTATCCTTCTTCTTTTTTTTTTTTTTTTTTTTTTTTTTGAGACGGAGTCTTGCTCTGTGGCCCAGGCTGGAGTGCAGTGGTGCAATCTCAGCTCACTGCAACCTCCACCTCCTGGGTTCAAGTGATTCTCTTGACCCAGCCTCCTGAGTAGCTGGGATTACAGGTGTGTGCCACCATGCCCGACTAATTGTTTTGTATTTTTTTAGTAGAGATGGGGTTTCACCACGTTGGTCAGGCTGGTCTTGAACTCCTGACCTCATGATCCACCCACCTCGGCCTCTCAAAGTGCTGGGATTACAGGTGTGAGCCACTGCGCCCAGCCCCCTTTAGCATTACATACTGACTTTGTCTCTTGTGGCAGTTTTGGACTTAAAATCTATTTTATCTGGTATAAGTACAGCTACTTCTGCTCTTTATTGGTTTCCTTTGCATGGAGTATCTTTTTTCCATCCCTTTGCTTTCAGTCTGTGTGTGTCCTTATAAGTGAAGTGAGTTCCCTGTGTGTAGCACAGAGCTGGGTCTGGTTTTTATAATCCATTAAGTCACACTATGTCTTCTGATTGAATAGTTTAATTTATTTACATTTAAGGTAATTGTTGCCAGGTAAAAATTGACTACAGTCATTTAGTTCATTCTTCTCTGGCTTTGTTTCCTGACTATAGCCCTTTAGTTCATTCTTTCTAGCTTTGTTTTCCTTTGTTCCTTCCTTCTCTTTCCGTCTTCCTTTGTGATTAGGCAATTTTCTATAGTGGCATGCTTTAATTCCTTACTTTGTATTTTCTGTATATCTAGTACAGGTTTTTGCTTTGTGGTTACCAGGAGGCTGACATAAAATATCTTAGGGTTGCAGCAAGTTTTTTTAACTTGAATACAACTTAACCATGATCACACACAAAAATTCAACATTTTTACCCACCCACACTTTGTTTTTGATGCTTTTTATATTGTGTAACCCTTAATGAATTATTGCAGCTTTAACTATTTTTAATAGTTTGTTTTAACCACTGTAATAAATGTTACTTAAACACTACCACCACAGTTTTAAAATTTGACTTACTTTTGTACTTACTTTTGACTTAAACTTTTTGTACTTACTTTTACTAGTGAGTTTCAAACTTTCTTATATTTTTGTGTTACTAATTAACATCCTTTTCTTTCAGCCTGAAGAACTTCCTTTAGCATTTCTTGTAAGACACTTCTGAGAGTAATGAACTCTTGACTTTGTGTGTGTGTGTCTCTGCAAAAGTCCTTTTCTCTTTTCCTTCTGTAGAAGAGCTTTGCTGTGTATTCTTGGTTGACAGTTTTTGTTATGTTTTGTTTTTTTCCTTTCAGCACTGGAATACATCATCCCGCTCTCCCCTGGCCTGTAAGGTTTCTGCTGTGATGTCTGCTTCTAGTATTAATGGAATTCCCTTATATGTGACATGCTTCTTTTGTCTTGATGCTCTTTTGCTGCAGAATACTCTTTTTGTCCTTGAATTTTCAAAGTTTGATAATAATATGTCTTGGTGTAGTCTTGCTTGGATTGAATCTGATTAGACACCTTTGACCTTCCTGTGTATGAAAATGTAAATTTTCCCCCAGATTGATAAAACATTTTCTGCCTGCCTTCCTGACTGCCTTTTTTCCTTCCTTCCTGTCTTACTTTCTTCTTTGCTCCCTCCCTCCTTCCTTGTTTCTGCTACTGTTTCCTCTCTCTCTCTATCCCTCTATCTCTTTCTTTACAATAAAAACTTGCTCTATTAGCCAGGCTGGAGTGCAATAGCATGATCATAGCTCACTGCAACCTCAAACTCCTGGGCTCAAGCGACTCTCCCACCTCGGCCTCCCAAAGCGCTGACATTATAGGTATGAGCCACGACACCCAGCCTATTGTTTCTTTAACTAAACTTTCTAGAACTTTGTCCCTCTATTCTCCTTTTTCAGTGTCCATACTTTTAAGTTTTGTTCTTTTGATGCTTTCCTGTAAGTTCCATAAGCATTCTTCATTACTTTATATTCTTTTTTCTCCAATTGTATAATTTCACTAAACTGTCTTTGAGTTCAGAGCCTTTCTTCTGCTTCATTGATTCTGCTGTTGACATTCTCTATTGCAATTTTCATTTCATTCATGCATTTCTCAGCTCCAGAATTTGTTAGTTTTTTTGTATAATTTCAATCTTTAATTTTCTCATTTTATTCATTTAATGACTTACTAATTTTTGAATTATTTTTCCTTTTTTAGATAAACAGAAATTTACTTGTAACAGTTCTGGAGACTGGGATGCTGAAGATCAAGGTGGTGGCATCTGTGAAGGCCTTCTTGCTGTATCATAACAAGGCAGAAGGCATCACATGGGTGAGAGAGAGACAAAAGTAGGGTCCTTTTATAAGAAACCCACTCCCTCATAACATAAATTTTGAGGGACACATTCAAACCAGAGCAGTCCCAGTTCCAGATCTCTAGTTTTTTCCAACATTTATTTTAGATTCAGGAGGTACATACGCAGGTTTGTTACCTAGGTATATTGTGTAATGCTGAGGTTTGGGGTATGAATGATCCCTTCACCCAGGTACTAACTAAACAGTTAGTTTTTCAACCACTGTCCCACTCCCTCCTTTTCCCCTCCAGTAGTCTCTAGTGTCTATTGTTGCCATCCTTATATCCATGAGTTATCAATGTTTGGCTTCTACGTACAAGTGCAAACATGCAGTATTTGATTTTCTGTTCCTGTGTTAATTCACTTGGGATAATGGCCTCCAACTGCGTCCATGGTGCTACAAAGGACATGATTTCATTACTTTTTATGGCTGCATAGTATTCCATGGTGTGTATGTATATGTGTGTATATATATATACCATATTTTCTTTATTCAATCCACTACTGATAAGCACCAAGGTTGATTCCATGTCTTTGCTATTGTGAATACTGCCATGATGAACACACAAGTGCATGTGTCTTTTTGGTAGAATGATTAGATTTCTTTTGGATATCTACCCAGTAATGGGATTGCTAGGTTGAATGGTAGTTCTCTTTTAAGTTCTTTGAGAAATCTCCAAATTTTTTTCCACAGTTGCTGAACTAATTTACATTCCCACCAACAGTATGTAAGTGTTCCCTTTTCTCCACAGCCTCACCAGCATTTGTTGTTTTTTGACTTTTTAGTAATAGCCATTCTGACTGGTATGAGATGGTATCTTACTGTGGTTTTAATTTGCATTTCTCTGATGATAAGTGATGTGGAACACTTTTTCATATGTTTATTGGCCATGTTTATGCCTTCTTTTGAGAAATGTTTGTTCATATATTTTGTACATTTTTAAGTGGGGTTGTTTGCTTTTTGCTTGCCTAATTGCTTAAGTTCCTCATAAATTTTGAATATTAAACCTTTGTTGGATGCATAGTTTGCAAATATTTTCTCCCTTTCTGTACGTTGTCTGTTTACTTTGTTGATAGTTTCTTTTGCTGTGCAGAAGCTCTTTAGTCTAACTGGATCCCACTTGTCAATTTTTGTTTTTGTTGCAATTGCTTTTAGGACTTATAAATCCTTTCCCAAGGCCAATGTCCAGAATGGTGTTCCATAGGTTTTCTTCTAGGATTCTTACAGTTTGAGGTCTTACATTTAAATATTTGATCCACCTTGAGTTCAGTTTCATATATGGTAAAATGTAGGGTTCTAGCTTCATTCTTCTGCATATGGCTCACCAGTGATCTTAACACTATTTATTGAATAGATAGTCCTTTCCCCATTGCTTATGTTTGTTGACTTTGTCAAAGATTAGATGGCTGTAGGTATGCAGCTTTATTTCTGGGTTCTCTATTCTGTTCCATTGTTCTATGTGCCTGTTTTAATACCAGTACCAGACTGTTGAGGTTACTGTAACCTTTTAGTTTGAAGTTGGGTAATGTGATACCTCTGGCTTTGTTCTTTTTGCTTTGGATTGCTTTGGCTATTTTGAATTATTTTTCTATTTTCTTTAAGTTCACTTAGCTCTTTTGGTGGTATTTTCAGATGTCAACAGTGGTTCAAATTGATGATTCTGCAGACGAATGTCCTATTTCACCATCTTGCTGGCATCTGTACACTTGCCTTGTTTATTCTTGAATGAACATTCTTCAAAGTAAAATTTTGAATTACATCATTTTATTATGGGTTAAATTAGAGAGGATTAATATCTTTACATTACTGAGTCTTCATATCCATAAATGAGAATTTACGCAGATCTCTTTATATACCTCATAGTAATGTTTTAACCTTTTCTTTTCCCATGTAGCTTGTACATTTCTTACCCCTCTCCTGCCTGCCAGTGGTATTTTATGCCTTCTAAATCTATTATAAACAGTATTTGCTTCTTTTCATTTTAACTGATAACTTATACAAAGGGAGGTATTTCTGATTATTAAATTAATTTCCAAAAAAAAGTATTAAAAACTGTGAGCCGTTGAATCTTTTTTTTTTTTTTTTGAGACAGAGTTTCACTCTTGTTGCCCAGGCTAGAGAGCAGTGGCATGATCTCGGCTCACCACAACCTCTGCCTCCCGGGTTCAAGTGATTCTCCTGACTCAGCCTTCCGAGTAGCTGGGATTACAGGCGCCCGCCACCACGTCTGGCTAATTTTTTTGTATTTTTAGTAGAGATGGGGTTTCAGCATGTTGGCCAGGCTGGTCTCGAACTCCTGACATCAAGGTGATCAACCTCCCAAAGTGCTGGGATTACAGGCATGAGGCACCACGCCGGCCTAGGTGATTTTCTTATGTGCGTTTTCAAGGATCAAATAATAATAATTTTTACTTGGTTCCTATTTTTTATGCCTCTTGTTTAGTCTCTTCTCTAATTGAAATACTCTTTGTATCATAGGAAAATAAGGATAGACCCTAGTGAGAAGGGCCTAAAATTCTTTTTCAGGGTTACAGGAATGAAGGAATAAATAAATCTTTATTGCCACAAAATAAAGGAAACTCTAAACTCAGCCTCTCTGAGACCAAATTATAAAAAAAGTCATACATAGAATTTGAGAATATGATAGCACCATTAAGAGGGAAAGAGGAAAAGAGATTATGAGGTGTTGCATTGATAATATACTGTGACGTATAAGTATTAAAACATTTTTGTATCTCTGAATAGAAATTTTAGTCAGGCCTCTCTCCTTGAACTCCTAAGACGGAGTCAAACAAAATTTTCTATTTGCTTTCCCTACTAGTTATTTTTATTTTGCCTTCTAGAAACTCATCAATTTGAAGAAATATAGTCAATATGAGTCATTTTATAGGCATCCTTATATATGTATAAATTTAAATTTTACAGTGTTTGATACACATATTCATGTTCTATTACATGTATCTATATAGATACAGTCTTGTTTATGAAAATTGACATAGTATGCTATAAGTGAACAAAACTATATGAAAGAATAACAGACCATACTGCTTGATAGAAAAAGTTTTAAATAATAGAAAAGTGCTGCAACAGAGATAAGAAGAAAAAATATAACAACAAAGGTCTTATGGGAGCTTATTATCTGCCAAGCACAGAGTTAAGCTCATTAAGTGGATAATCTTATTTTTCCTCACACAATTATGCTCATTTTATAAATGAGAAAGCTAGAACTTTGAGAAGTTAAATCACCCAACTTTACATAGTTTATAACTGATTCTTGTTCTCAAAGGCAACTCTGCGTGACTGTGAAGCCCCAGCACAGGCTCCCATAAAAAGGGCATTTCCATTTACTGTAATATTTAAAAATCCACAAAAACTGATTTTTCAAAAGCCTACAGTTAAAAGAAAGTTGCTCAAATATTACCTAAAATAGAATAATCCGTTAAAAAAATTGATCACAATGAAAGAGGAAAAAAAAGCAGCTCACAGGAATTTTCTACAGAGGCATACAAAGATACACTCTCTAAACAAGAAAACCATTATCTAGTGAATGTTCATCAGAAACTAGAATATTCACTTTTGTTTAAGTAAAACTTTCACTAATTATATAGAGGGTTATACTTCCTATTGAGATAATTTATCACTATAGCCAAAGTTTCAGTGTAGAAAAACACCCCTGCTCATCAGTGTCTGGGATAGAAGTAAAACAGAGGATACTGCTTGAAACAAAACTGCTTAGACCAGCACACTTCTCTGATTTGTCAATGTCACTGATTTAAAAATGAAAGTTAATACCTTTTAAGATATCTGTACAATTCTAGGGCAGCTGTTTCAGAAGGTCAAATGACTCACAGCCAATGGGGAACTAGAGAGATATCTGAGGATTTGGCTGGTAAACCAGACTTTCACTGACAGGGTCCCCTTTGGGGCTGTGGTAGAGGTTCTCTTAAAAGACAGAGCAGCTTAAAGAAATCACTGAGGATTTTCACTATTACAACAACAAAATGATACTGAAGTGCTATATTGATTTTAAATTTGACAAAACGACAGAATCCCTGACAAAACAGAACCATTACTGTGGAATAAATCAGTTAGATTCTGGATCAGCCCCATTATTATTCATATCATCACAAGTGCTTTCTAAGATGTTGTCACCAGATTAGGGCACAAAGTGGGGAAGAGAGCTGGAAGGGCTTCTCCTTAAAGAGTATGGTTATTGTACTTCACTTCCATGCTTAATCATTTGATAACACTCACCCACAGTTGCTATTTTGGATACTCTATAAAATTCCCAGGCAGTTACCCATTTAATCTAACATAAATATGTGTTAAAATCTTTTCTGCTATTTCTCAAGGTCACGTGTTTGCCCATGGAACTTAGAGTACTGGCATCTCACTCAGTCACCGCAACAATGGCTTAAATCCTTCTTGACAGGTGGTACCTCTGTGTTCCTAGTGGCATCATACCACAGAAGGCTTCTCCCTCACACTAATGGGACTGAATCAATAACATCAGACTAAAAACATTAACCTTAGGAGTCTTATTATTCTGAAAAATATAATAAAACCTTCAGAATAAAGGTTTTATTATTAAAACTCAGACCCAATTAAAATTTTACAAATGAGAAAGCTAGAACTTTGAGAAGTTAGATTACCCAACTTTACATAGTTTATAACTGATTCTTGTTCTCAAAGGCAACTCTGTGTGACTGTGAAGCCCCAGCACAGGCTCCCATAAAAAGGGCGTTTCCATTTACTACAATATTTAAGAATCCACAAAAAATGGTTTTTTTCAAAACCCTACAGTTAGAAGCAAGTTGCTCAAATATTACCAAATATTACCAATATTACCAATAATCAGACCCAATTAAAATCAGAGAGAAAAAAAGTAACACAAGGCTGTGTAGCTCATGCACTACTAATATAGCCCATTGACTATTTAACTCATAGGATGCCTTTTAAAATAGTTTTTATTGTGGTAAAATATATATCCCATAAAATCTACCATTTTAACCATTTTAAGTGTACAGTTCAGTGGCATTAAATATATTCACATTGTTGTTCAACCACCACCTGCATCCAGCCCCTGAACTCATTTCATCCTACAGCTGAAACTCAAATCTTCTGAATAATTTGTGAAGTTGGCAACACACCATGCTGACCCTTAATTTGTGAAGAAGGCCCACAAGTATTAGAAAGATCCATTTGTAGAGGTGTCACTTGATGTGACATTCCTTGCTAGCACAGATCCATCTCAAACAAACTTCTAAAGCTTGGGCTACTCTGCTCAACTCTAAATCCACATGAAGAAATGTCTCCTATTCAATTGGCACCACATCCTAGCAGGATTTTGTGTTCTTTTTTCTCTACACTTTGCTTTTCAGATGGATTTTATATCTATACATCTTTATCTATATTATGTGTATACATATATACATATATTTTGCTTTGCAGGAGGATCATTTATGTGTGTGTATGTGTGTATATATATATATATATAAGTGGGAATGTTTCATAAGGACAAATACACCACTAAGTCTCTCATTCCTTTGCTATTGTAGAAATGGAGTTAGGAAACAAGGTGAAAAAGAGCCCTTTCACAGCCAGAGACTGTTTCTTTACCTTCTTGGAAACTGTAACCCTTACAGGAATTGTGCAAGAATTAAATGTGGGAGTGCTGGAAACCCAGAGCACACAGCCTTATGCACAAAGAGCTCTTCATAAATGGTAGATGGCATTAGCTTCAAGTTTAGAAACAATGTTTTCTTTTTGCTTCCTAGCCAGGAAAAGCCCTTTTGCTTCAAGCGACTAAAGAATGTTCTCTAACTTCCTGAGTGTTGTGTGTGTGTACTTGCCTCTGCTAATGTTTAGTTTGCCTTACAAGGACAATCTGCCTGACTTCGTGTTGGATAAAGGGAAGCTGTACATGAAGATGGAGAGATACAGAAGGAAACAAGCCATGATTTCAGTAACCCAGTGGCCATGACAGCCAGAGGCAGAATGAAGGCCGACTGAAACTAGATATCCGCTGACCACCTCTGGACCCACAGGTGCAGCTGTTTGGAATGACACCACACCTGGCAGCAGGGCTGACGTGTCCTGCAGACCTGCTCTTCCTCTGACTCACTGTGTCGCTGCCCACCACTGGCTCACGGCTTGGTAGCTACCCAGCCACACCCTCAGCCTCCCTTTTCCCTACTGTCGACCAACTGTGTGTCTGGCATGTAACACACACTCAGACTGAGAATGTTTCTGTCTCTGTGCTAACTGCAGTGTCTGCCATCCTTTCCTGCTCTCTCATAGCAGGTACCGAGTCAGTCCAGACAGCTGCTGCCTCTGGGCTCAGTGCTGATGGGCAGATCTCCAACCTCTGACCTTCCTTCTGCCTCCTCCGTTAGTTCCACTCACATTTGCTCCAGTCAGGCCCGGAAAATAAAGATAACAATTAGGAACAAATACACACAGGCCATGGGAGATCTACTAATGCACTTTGTCCACTGCCCCAAAAACGTCCCATGACAGCTGGTGGACACTTTTTTAGATTTCCCAGTTAGAGCGGTTCTACATTTTGGATCTCAAAAATTCTCAACACTGATAAAGACCAGTGAAACAAGAATTCAGTTATAGCAAATTGTATGTTCTTTGTCAGAAAGTTTTAAAAAACAAAGTCCAATAATATTATTCAGAGAACATTTTCTTTCTTTGCATAAAATCTTCCTAGTGAATAGAGACAGACAGGGAAAAAACAAAATTCCATACATGGGAACAAGAAATAACGACTTCCATAAGGAAACACAAAACCAGGGAAGACACAGGCTGGAGGCGGGTGGGGTGGGGAGGGCAGTGGGAGCTGTGTGCGTGCGTGTCTGCGTGTGTGTGTTCTGTGCACATTAGGGGTTAGGTTATCTAGAAGAATTCTATCAGGAAGAGATAATTTACCCAAGAAACGAATTGAGGAAGCTATCTATGCTATAGGGGAAAATTTCAGAGATACTGAATAGCTAGTACAAAGATGGATCTTGCTTGACATTTTTAAAGAGCAGCTAGAAGAACAACATAGCACAAAATATTTGAAGCCACAGATAAGCAGAGAATACGGTCGAAGTTGCTTATTTCTTTTTATCTAAATAAGGTCAGTTCTTTATTGAAAATGACTACATTCATATGGTGCATAAAATATGTGGCAATTTACAGAAAGAATTAAAGAAAATAAAATTCTATAGATTTAAATTGGAAGCCAGTTGCAAAGGCAGAAGCAAGATGGGATGTGAAGCTGTGGCAATGGTCCAGGTAAGAGATGGTGGGCAACTGGGCTGTCATGGTAATAACAGAGGTGAGGGAAAGTTGTCAGACTCCACATATACTCTGAAGCTGTGACTGACATGATCTGTCTAACGACTGAGTTGACAGGATATGCCTATGGATTGATCGTGGAGTGTGAAGGAATGGAAGTCATTGGTAACTCCACGCATATTGGCTCAAGCCAACAACTGGTAAATGCTGTGATATTTACTGAGAGGTGGAAGCCCAGGGGCAATAGGGTTTGGTGATGGGAAGGATATGGAGATAATAAACTTAGTTTTGGACGTGACTATTTGACATCCGAAAGGAAATGGAGTCTGGTGCTCAGAGGGGAACTTGAAACCTATGTCAGGGATGGATAATATCCTGAATATATCTAATCCCAACCAGAAGAAAATTTCACAATGAATTAAAAAGTTCTATATTTCCTTGCAGATTTAATTCTTTATTCTTTCAGAAATAAGTGAAAAATAGACATGAGGGAAAATGGCTTGTCAGTGATTGCTAATCTGGGACTATGGTTAATAGAATGTTATGGTATAATCTCTCAGCATGATTCCAGGACATGGTTAGGTGGATTTCTAAATATCTTTTCTCTCTTTCTGATTCAGAACATTTGTTCTTATTAGGCCACGTGGCTTTTTAAGGCCATTCCTATTACTACTACTATATATATGTATATATATATATACACACACACATGATTATCCCAGAAAATTATCTTTTATCTTCCCTCTTCTGTTGTTTATTCTTTTGACCTTGTTTGAGTAATGGCACCTTTTAAAATGATGTAGCAGATGAGGAGATTATTCACCTCAAGTGAGTCTGTGTCCTGAAACACATTTTGTTAACTGAAAGTATAATACATAATGAAGCTTGTTCTGTTACTCAGAAAAGATTCATGTATTCCTGTTGTAAGTAACAGGGATTCTCTCTTTTCAACGGAGCTTTTACTACTCTGAAGATTCCATAAATCTGGCAGTTACATCTAGTTTTCTTGGGTATTTCTCAACACAAACTCAGTCTAGCCCTTGAAGCGTCAATGTGAAGCATGTAATTAGTAAGAATGTGGATTGATATATTAATCCATTCAGATAATCAAATGTCAGTGATTGATATGACAGCTGTACAATCTCTTATCTAAAGCCTTGGTATCAGATTTGCTTTAGATTCAGATTCATTTCATATATTAGAAAGGTCATACTGTGTATACACCAAATATGAGTGACTAGGTGGTAATCACATATGTTACTATTTTTGCAATAAAACATATGAATATTCACATTAAGCAGAGAAAGTAAAAAATGCAAATAGCCGCAAAGTCAGTACATTCAGATTTTGCTGCTAAATAAATTTGGGTCTGCTTAGGGTTCACCATTTTAAGAATTTTGCTTTTAGAATTAAAAATTGCAGATAAGCAACTGTGGATCTTTAATAATAGAAAACATTAGCATAGGTAATGGGTAAAACCAGACCAAAAAAAACAAAGCCATAAAAAGACAGAGGGAGAGCATACAAGAAATATATAAGACTGGAGAATGCATTTTTAACGTGTCCTTAACATAAAAGTAGAGGCAGCAGGATCCCTAGGAGAGAGCTGGAAATGCATTCTGTTCTCCTGGTACAGGAAGGTTAATACGATGACCCTGAGGGCAGGGGATGTAGCTGTGGTCAGGAAAAGATAATAATAATAAAGATAATAATGTGCTGGGAAAGATAATAAGCCTATAAAAACATAATTTTCATTAATCAAGAGTGTTAATATTTTAGGTATCAAAAATAAATCTTAAGTTATTTTAATATCATCCATTCATTTCTAAAATTAATGCCTTGGTAAAGGGCAGAAACTCTAATAAGAGATGTAATTTATTGTTAAGGCAGCAATGATAAGACTGGAGGACAGTCAATATCAGCCCATCTTTTTAAGAAAATGATAAATAGGAGACAGTCAGTGAAATTTATTTCTACAGAAGTAGCTTTGATAGGAAAAATACTAGACACAAGGGACATGCCTAGTGAAGAATATGATAACTATGACTCAGCTCACATTTCCCAAGAGTATATTACTAACCTCTACCATAATTATTTGCTTATTTACTAAAAGAATGGATTAATGAATAAACAAATGGAGAATATGTCCCTGAGATGTTGATGTAGCAGTTCAAGAAACACGAATCATGATGGTTACCAGTGGCAGGGAAGGGGCGTGGGGGGCTGGGGAGGAGATGGGGATAGTTATTGGGCACAAAAAAATAGTAAGAATGAATAAGACCTAGGATTTGATAGCACAACAAGGTGACTATAGTCAATAATAATTTAATTGTACATTTTAAAGTAACTAAAAGTGTATAATTGGATTGTCTGTAACACAAAGGATAAATACTTGGGATGGATATCCCATTTTATATGATGTGATTATTATGCACTGCATGCCTGTATCAAAGTATCTCATGAATCCCATAAATGTGTACACCTGCTATGCACTCACAAAAAGTAAAAGTTTTTTTAAAAAAAAGAAACTCAAATATCTACATAGGTATTTTATAATCCAAACTTGACAGCCTCTCTCTTTGCAATTTTACAACTTTCAGCAAATTCCCCATATTCTCTCCATCTCAGTCTGAACAGCCATTTCACATCTTACAGCTCACTGTTTTTTGTGTATCTCATCCATTATCCATGGTTTTGTTTGCATTACTTTTGCTTTCTGAAATATCCTCCTGAATTGTTTTCCAACAACCCATGAGGTAACGCTTTCTCCAAGGCCTGCCATTCTCAAGTCTCTTCGGGTCTGTGTCTTATAACTGAACACTCACAAGAACCATCTCTGGTTTGTTTTGTGGGTTCTCTCTTCAGTAGCATTAACATTTTTTTCACCATGCAAATTCTGTATAGTTGGTCATAGAGTAGGAAATGAAGCTATTAAATGGTTACAATTTGCCAGTCACAGTGATGGAGGATGAAGGAGATGCAAAGATAAAGCCCTATCCCCAAAAACCTTTTAGCTCAAAACGATGGAAGGCTGAGTCCTGAACCCTCATAGCACTACATTTCATTGTTTTAGTCCAAAACAAGTCCTAGAGATCTGCAGAGCCAGGAAGGACCATTTTCATTGTGGTTGTTCAAAAAAGGCATCCTGGGAGAGGATGAATTTCCCTCATTCATTCAGGAAACATTTCCTCATGTCCTAGTCCTGTTAGGCACAGTTAGGCTTTAGAGGCTGAGTTAGTTTTCCAGAACTGCTGTAACAAAGTGCCACAAACTAGGTAGCTAAAGTGATGGAGGCCATACGTCCAAGATCAAGGTGTCTGCCGGCCATGCTGCCTCCGGAGGCTCTAGGGAGGGATCTGTTCCATGCCCATCTCCTAGCTGCTGGTGCCTCCGGTGTTCTGTGGCTTGTCCATGCATTATCCCAATCCTCCCTCCTCACAGGGCTGCTTCCCTATGTGTCCTTGCACTGTGTTCCCTGTGTGTATAACTGTCTCTGGGTCCAAAGGTCCTTCTTGATGAGGACACCAGTCATATTAGATTAGGGTCAACCCTCCTGACTACACTTTAACTTGATTACCTCTGTAAAAACCTTATATCCAATTAAGGTCACATTCTGAGGTACTGGGAGTTAGGATTCCAACATATGTTTTTGGGAAACCACAAGTCAACCCAGAATAGAGATGCAGGGATGAAAGGCAGGCACAGTGACTTTGAAAGGAAGCTCACACTGTGAGCGGGCACCAGGAAAGTAAATCACTTGTTCCAGTGAAGCTCAACACGTTCCTACACGAGGTAAGATCATGAGAGTTGACATCTGTCATTTTAAGTGTTCTGGATTAGTAAGAACCTTAACCTTTACGCTCTTTCCCCGCAGGCTAGTAACCTTTCAGAGTAAGCAAAATTGGCAAATGGCATTGCCTTGGCTATGGTTTCCCTCTGAACTGCTTAACTTGATAACAAAAATGCTGACGGTACCTCTGTCATTGATGTATTTTTTTTTAGGAGGAAGAAAGAGCCAAATTACAAATACGATGCAGACTCTATATGAGTCTTCTCTTACAGCATCTCTTTTATAGGGAAACTGTCCACAACATTTTAAACATTATTAATCAATGCAGAGCAAGATTTTAAACAGATACAGGTTACTTTCAAACACTATGTAATAAATACTTATTATTATTATTATTATTATTATTATTGAGACAGAGTTTCTCTCTTTTTTGCCCAGGCTGGAGTGCAATGGTGCGATCTCCGCTCACTGCAATCTCTGCCTCCCGGGTTCAAGTGATTCTCCTACCTCAGCCTCCCAAGTAGCTGCAAAAGTCAAACAAAAAGTGATTACCCTGGCAAAGAGGCACTGACATATAATCAGAAACAGAAATAATGTCACTGTTATGAGGATATTTACAGATTCAGAGAATGTCACAGAGATCTGTAGTCTATGAAAAACTAAATCTGGCCAGGCGCGGTGGCTCACTCCTGTAATCCCAGCACTTTGGGAGGCCAAGATGGGTGGATGACCTGAGGTGAGGAGTTCGAGACCAGCCTGGCCAAAATGGCAAAACCCTGTCTCTACTAAAAATACAAAAAAAAAAAAAAAAAAAAAAAAATTAGCCAAGTGTGGTGGCACACGCCTGTAGTCCCAGCTACTAAGGAGGCTGACGCAGAAGAATTGCTTGAACCTGGGAGGCAGAGGCTGCAGTGAGCCAAGATTGTGCCACTGCACTCTAGCCTGGGTGATAACAGCGAAACTCTGTCTCTTAAAATAAAAAAAAAACAAAAAACAAAAAAAAAAAAAACAAGAAAAACTAAATCTGGCTGCTTAATAAAGGACACACAATTCTTCAAGTTCAAAGTCTGTGTTCCTGTACTTGTCATACACACAGAAACTGCTCATTTATTACATTTTGAAATTTCAGTGTCTTTCAAAAACATCAGATCAAATCAGAGAAAATAAATGAATTCAATCTACCACTCTAAAATAATGCAGAGGCAATGTTAAATTACTTTATTAAGCAAACCAAGAAAAAATAAATTATATATGATTTGTATTATTTTTTAACTTCCACACTATTTAATGGTATAATATAAGATTGTCTTTCAATGCTTTCAATGAAATAGGTATCTTACTTTCACTTAGAACATTTTTTTCTAAGTAATTCTTAAAATTCTGTTTTTCTAATAGGTTTGCAGCAATAGGTAGCAATTATTATTATTAGAAACATACCCAGATGCTTTCTTCTCGGCGATACTGCTTCCAGTTTCTCCCACCATCACTGAACATCAGGAGGTAGCTGGTCACCCAGTCAGAGCTCCCATATCCTCCTTGGGTGGCGACAGCAGTGACCTCCATTCTCTCTCCAAGGTCAATTTGCAGCCATTGGTATTTATTTGACACAAGTGGAGTCCAGCCACCAGCTCCTTTATTGAAACAGAAAAAGTATAAAAATGGTAGAGGAGGAAGTTATTTAAACATAGCTGTTACTAGATTAGAAAACTATAAAATTATGAATATATATTAAGAAAATCATCGATTTACAATAGAAAAAATAGAAGAATTACATGTGACTGGATGAACCCTAAATTGTGTTCACATTTAGCTAGATGACCCCTGACATTCTAGAAGGCAGGTGTCCTACTGACTGCAGAAAATGTTTGTTTAATGCAGGTGGCCACTAGAGCATTCCTGTCAACTTTTGGAACTAGTGTTATTTCATAGCCCTTGTGCAAGATTTGCCCTTTGCCAACCTAAGAGACTAAATTCCAGTAGTAGGAAGTACAGCATTAAGCACTGATAAAACAAAGACGGTTAATATATTGACCTTGCACTCAAAGTGCTTACAGTCTCATAGGAGAAATGGATGTAAAAGAAGAGTTAAAACATAGAGTGCTTTGTGAGGCAATCCCACTTACATGTGGAATTTTAAAAAGCTGAATTCACAGAAGTACAGAGGAGAGTGATGGTTACGAGGAACTGGGGTGTGGAGGAGATATTGGTAAAAAAATACAAAAAGGTATGGAGTAGCAAATGGTCAAGGTGAGTCCTAAGCAGGTTCTGGTGCACTCTGCTCTCTCTGGCAGTACTGCAGGGAAACTGGGGCAAGTCTCACACAGTGCTCATCCACCTTGGACAAGGAAAAGGAGACTGTCGGGTATTGAAGAAGATGCGTGCAGAGCAGAAAATTTGCTTTTTGCTCTGACCAATGCCAAATCTGAAACAAAAACATAGGCATGTCCGCTGATGTTTTATTGATGTTTGTTATTTTTCTAGTCTAATAGAATTAGGGGACACTCGAAAACCACAGCTTCTTTAATAATCAATGTCTAGAAAAAGAGAGTACTCTATAAACAATTCCCAAGCCGAGGAGTCAGAACACTTTTATTATTCCCTGGTGCTGCCACTTACCTGAAGGCTCTGATAGAAAGTCTGAAGTTCTAGACAGTTCATTATTATTCATTGACTTATACTGTGTATTTTATTATTAGGGGTTTATCATTATGTCCTCATTTGTAAAGTCTTTAGTACTTCACTACATGTCCAAAAAAGTTTGATATTATTAGAATATAGCTAGGTGTAAAAACGAATAAGTGAGGACATTATACTTTAATATAAGTTATTATGGGGAAGTGTTGAGAAATATAAATATTTATATTTAAATAATAACAATTCATACTTAAATAATAAATATAAATATTAGGCACCTATTTGAATTGATGACCACACTTAACTACTGTTTCCTTATGATTCCCAAGTTTACAGATTCTTAGAAGTCAGATTCTAAGATATTTTTGTAGTGAATCTTTGTTCAAAAATATTTTTCCTCTGAATGTACAATAAGCACCTCTAAAGTTTATATTATATATATAGTATGTACACAGACATATATATAATTTTTGTTTGTTTTGCTTTTTATTGTTCCATGTTTTGAATTGAAGAGTCAGGAATTTGATCTAGTAGACAAGATGGAAAATTATTGGTAACCAACACTGTGCATCTGATTGACACTAAAATACTCCATTTATTTTCTTAATCCAGACAGCTAGGAGGTGGACACAGCTCTTGTTCAAAGTTAAATGTTCTGCTACAGACCAGGGGCATCCTCCACTCATGCAACATGGTTTCCTAGATCGGGCAATATTTATTCTTGGATGATTTACAGCAATATTTATGTGAGCCCCTGCCAGAGACAGTGCACAGATTTCTTTAGCCCTCAGTAGGAACTACTTCCACAGTTTCTTCTCTCTGCTCATTCCTCCTTCCAACTTAACTTTTCAGGATGTAACAGAATTCCACCTACCCACTTCCATAATCACTCAATTTAACAATGAACACTTATCGAGCATTTGAGAACTCTAGGTCAGGCAAAGAGTTCCCTTTAAATAAATTTTGCATTTAATTCCTAACATACCTTTAAAAGACAAGGCCTCATTACTACCCTCCATATATGGTGGGCAGCT
This sequence comes from Homo sapiens, assembly GCF_000001405.40. Taxonomy (NCBI): domain Eukaryota; kingdom Metazoa; phylum Chordata; class Mammalia; order Primates; family Hominidae; genus Homo; species Homo sapiens. The sequence continues at coordinate 39,241,224 of NC_000009.12, forward strand.
CACCTATGTTTACGCATCTAGCAAGGGGCCCATGAGCTTTGGATCCAGAACCTGTGCAATTAAATATTTCTATTATATTATTTTGATGATAATCATGGGATGTGGTGTTTCTCAAATAAATGTAACAAAGATGTAAAGACGTTTGGGAGTGAGCAGGTCTGGCTACCTAAGGCAGCAGCCCCCATACAGCAGGGCAACCTCTCCTACTCCTGGTCAGGCAAGGTCTGGGTTTCGGAAAGCTGAGGGTGCAGTGCCAATGGGGTTTTCTCTACTGGCCCTTCCTGTTGACTCCACCAGATCTACTCTTCTCTCCTAAGCCTATGTAAACTTTAATTGGTGGGAGATCCTTTTGGGGTTGGTCTAACTAGCAACCAATAGTCCTAGGTACAACACTAATGAAACTGTGTATCCTTTTCTGTTTTTCTTATTACTATTTTATGGGGGTTTTTTTTGTTGTTGTTTTTTTTGTTTGTTTGTTTTGAGATGGAGTCTCACTCTGTCACCAGCCTGGAGTGCAGTGGCGAGATCTCTGCTCACTGCAACCTCCAACTCCAACTGGTTCAAGCAATTCTCCTGCCTCAGCCACCCAAGTAGCCGGGATTACAGGTACGTGCCACCACGCCCAGCTAATTTTTGTATTTTTAGTAGAGAGGGGTTTCACCATGTTGGCCAGGATGGTCTCGGTCTCCTGACCTAGTGATTTGCCCATCTCGGCCTCCCAAAGTGCTGGGATTACAGGCACGAGCCACTGGGCCCAGCCTATTTTATGGCTGTTTTAAAAGAGTTGGGAGAAGGTGAGGGAGATGCTAACAGCCAACCCATCATCTTAGGCTGGATGTTGTACATTGGGAATTTTATACACAGAGCTGAAACTTCTGAGGAACTATTCAATATTTTTGGTTCTTCCCCTCATCTTAGTTAAGGGCATCCTCTTCAGCTTGTATTTCATAACCTTTCTTTGGTGTTTTCACTCCCTCTCATTCCAGGTTTAGAAAAGTAATTACTATGAGAACACATGTGGAGAAGCACAAGGAGGAAAATGAGTTGGCACGGTTCTGGTGTGCTACCCTGGGGTGGTGTGTTTTCATCAGATGAAGAGGGAGCCGCTGGCCATCCCTCTTCTCGGCATCCCTCACAGTTTGTTAGTTTGTTGGTGTTCATGGTTGCACTCCTGGTAACAGATGACACATTTCAGTGACTTCATTTTACCTTTGATGAAGTAGTACTCAAATGCAAATAAGCTATATTTTCAGCCATTACTGATAAAGTAATGAAATTCTGGCATTACCAAAGAATTTCATCAGGATGTTGTAGCCTCAGGAAATCTGCAATCCCAGATGCGTTTTAAGGGTAAGCTGCTGTGCACACAATTTAATTAAACGCTGAGTGGAAATGGTGGGAAACACAGCGTGACTGACCTGTGCACTGCTGGATAGCACTAGTCTGTGTGCCTTTGTTAAAGGCAGCTTTGATGGTTGGTATAGAAGGCCACTATGGGTAACAGAAAGAGAAAGGAGGTTGGCTGACTCCACCCCCAACTAGAGTGTAGTAATTGTCCAGTCACTCAGCCTCTCTGAGACAAAAATGTTGTCCTTTGTTTAAAAAAGAAAAGCATAAAGTTGGGAGTGGGGGGATTAACAGTCATATAAATCACGTCACAAGACTGTAAGGAAGACAATGGGATAACTGAAACTACAGCACTTTGTAACTAAATTATTATTCAAATGTGATGTTATACTCAATTTTTGTTGTCTTTAAATTAAAACAAATGAAAGTCTTCTATTTGTTAAGTCAAGATTATACATGTGCTGACTACTTTTCAACCTGGAAGTGTCTTTTCATAGTCCCTTCTAGTCTATGGTCAACAAAACTTTGTACACAAAACAGGGGAAGCAGTTATGTCCTCTAAGCTCAGCCTCTCCCCCATAACAAATGTTTCTTCTCCACTTCACCCTCCTCCCCCTGCCTCTGACAAGACATTGCACCTGAGTTAAATAAAGTGTCACAATTCTACCCCACAGATCCTATGAATTATGAAAACTCATCCCCTCCATTCATAATATATGTTCTGACACACATGTTCCATTACTGGAATGAGATTAAAATATGCTGAGCAACTGAAACTTTCTCTTACACTTTATATGGCTTGAGGGACAGCAGATGTTATTTTTTAAAGGGTAATTCGTTTTTATAAAGGTTGATATTGGTACCACAGTGAAGATGCTGAGCTGCGCTAACTGTTTTGTCCCTAAATGTTCACACAACATAGGATTTATCTTATGAACCGTTTTATCCACTTTTAAGTTTTCAAGTTCTGAGGAAATTATTAAAGTTTTGCCACTTATTTTGTAATGGAAAACAAGGGAAAAGGGGGAAGTGAGAAACTCTGAAGCATATATTGTATGCTGAGAATTCGACCAGATATTTTCAAGCATATTATCATTTTTTATTTCTAAAAGCATTCAGTGGGTTGTCTTTATCGTATCTACCTTACAGATGAGAAAATAAAATCACTAATTAAAACACATGGAAAGATATTATTTTTAAAATCAGCTTATGTTTCATTTTTATCCCTGTCCATGAATATATTCACATGATTTGTCAATCACTTAGTACTTTTTGGTTATGAATAATCTGGCATGATTATGTCTCTATTTTGTACAGTTATATCTGTTTGTTATAATTCTGCACTTACATCAGGTCAAAGTTACATTTCACTATCTGGGGCAGGGGGCTCTGTGAAAGAAAAGTAGAAACCCTACAGCTGGAGCCTTAATTATTTCTGACTAACAACAATAAAACTTCCCATGACTATAGTATCTAGTCATAAGTGACAGCACTGTCACAGAGTATGTATTGACTTTGTTTACAGGGGAAATAATGCACAGGTAAATCATCATCATCATCATTACAATTATCATCATATCACCATAATCTTATACCTTCCTTAACTAAATTTGATGTTGAAGGCACAAAATATAAGTAAACAAAGTAAATGTTCAAAGCCAGCCACTATTAGGGACTTCTGTATACCAAGCAAACACACAGTTAAGTCAACCTTGTCCCCACGAGACACTTCCCACTAAGATAACAAATTGTTTCAAATGTGATTTTATCCAGATATATTTGTTTCTTTCCTCATCTAATTGCATTTTAATTCACATTAAAAATTTCAGGTATTACCTGGGGTGAGCAGGAGGTGGGAAGTGAGATGTGAGGTAGGGACTGTCACAGCTCCTACACTCCAGTGTGATTATATGTAATTTATAGGGAAGAGGAGTGAAGCTGGCTTTAAATCAACTCCCTCATTCCACTTCTGAGATTTATAGGCTTTAAACAGCCATGCTTTTTGTCAGTAGGTCTGCCTTTTTGCTGAGGGTAATTTAAACATTTACCTGAGATCTAATTTCATTTAGAAAAAAAAGGGCTAACTACACAGATATAGAATCAGGTACTACAGTCTTTTTCAACTATGCTGTTTTAAAGTAAAAAATACAGAAACCCTCCCTCAGAATCTGTCTTTGTGTACATGTTCTATTTCAGCAGTATTTCCTTCAATCTTAGCAGGTTGAAGCAGAAAGAATATTCAGCCTACTAAAAATGTGTTCATAAAAAAAGTACTGCAATTATGGTTAAAATCTCAGAGTGTATATAACAATTTATAAAATGTATTCTCTTACAAAATGCATCTACACTCCCTAGTAGCTTTGAAAATGGACAAAGAATAAACAAAAAACAAATAGTAGATGTTAGACTTAAAATTAATCATATAATCATATTAAAGGCAAGTAGTACAAACACTCCTATTAAATGGCAATGATGGTCAGATTAGATGAGAAAGCAAGATCCAACTATATGTTGCCTACAAGAAACACACTTTAAATAAAAAAGGCTCAAATAGCCTAAGTGTAAACACATGGAAAAATATATATTATGCCAATAATAGTTTTTAAAAAAGCTGGATTGGCTATATTAAAGTAGATTTCAGTGCAAAAATTATTATAAAAGGTAAAGAAAATTATTTCGTAATGATTAAGATGTTCTTTCATCATAGGACATAATCCTAAACATGCAAACACTTAATAACAGAGCTTCAAAATACATGAAATGAAACCTAGTAAAACTGAATGAAATAGATAAATCCACAATGACAGTAGGAGATTCTAGCACCCCGTCTCGGTAACTGATTGCACAAGAAGACAGAAAATAGGGATTCAGAAGTATTAATTATCACTATCAACCTATATGATTCATTGATATTTATGGAATGTTTCACCTAACAGAAGAACATGTATTCTTTTTCAAGTTCATTTGGAACTTTTACCAAAATAGACCATTAAACGAGTCATTAAACAAGTTTCAACAAAGTTAAAATCATTTAAGTCATGTAAAGTATATCTTTGTGATATACAATAGATTAAAATAAGAAATCAACAATAGCAACTTCTCTGAAAAATCCAGGAATATTAGGAAACTAATAACACATACTTCATAATCAATGAATCAAAGAAGAAACTAAAAGGGAAATTAGCAAGTATTTCAAGCTGAATGAAAATGAAAATACAACTTATCAAAATCTATGGGCTGGAACTTCTGGCTTCTGCCCCAGGAAGTAGAAAGCTATAAGGAGCCTCATTTCCACTCTTACAACCAACTTCAAGTTCATGATCTTTTACAAATGCATTGGAGAGTTGAGCTTGCAGAACCACCACCTAGCCTAAAATCTAAAGAGATATGAACCTCACAGGGAGAGATGTGAGCAGGATCTCACCTTACATAGATGAAACCAGAGGTCAGTAAGAAAAGTTCAGCTGGAATAGTTAACAAAATGGTGAAACCTACTGTGCAGGCTGGTGGGACAGTGAGAAATCCTTTATCACCCCAGAAGTTGGGGGAGTGTTCCCTCTTGCAGGCACTTGCTCCACTGGCCATTGGCAGAAACTCACATGCACTCCACTGAGAACTCTACTTGGCCCTCACAGAAAATATCAGAAAGAGCCCTAAAGGTTAAATGACTCAGCCTATAACCTCCGTTATCTCCACCACATCTTGATTTTTGGGTAGGTGTAGTTCCATTCATCTTGGTAACTAACTGCATAATTCAATAAAACCATCATTGTGCATTTTTTCATACATCCAATAAATTATCTGATGAGACATATAATCTCAAATTATCACTTGAGCAGGCAAAGAAGCCATTATCTTCACTTGGTGAGTAGAAACAATTAGGCAAAAGTGATGGGTGATGTGCAAACGGGGCATATGAGGAGAGGGCTGGAATGGAGTCAGGGCACCCTGAGGCTGACTGCACGCCTCTCATTGTGTTCCATTTCCCACAGATAGTGTGTTTACCTTCTTCAGGGAGTGATTAAACACGTGTATTTGTCTTTCTTATTAAATGACAATTGATATCATGCAAGGAAACACGAGAGTGAAATGCTGAGAAGTGAATATTTTAGTGAATACCAAATTATCCATCTGTATGTGATTGATTGCTCAGTCAACCAAAATCCCCTAGCCCACCCCCTAAAAAAAAAAGAGATGGTAATATTTACATTTTTCCTAAGGATATTATGTAGTTAAACTAATTATAGTTTATGAAATTGCTGTGAAAGCCTCGTATGAAAAGAGACATGCATTTGTTATTGCATGTAATAGGACACTATCAAAATATGATGCAAAAGGAATGTCCTCTAAACATTACAATAATGTTTATTTTAAGTTGCTATTAACAGAGAAATTTTTTTAGAGGCAAGCACACATCGGGTACAATGTGGGGCATCAGAATTCTGCTAAAGTTTGTCCCACTGAATTCTTTGGAAAAAATATGACAACCTAAAAAAATCCAGTTGGCAAAAATTAATGTGAAAGAAAATAGGTGAATCTGCACCATGTCCTACAGAAGTTCTGGAATGCCTCCGTTAACACTGACTTTAATAACTAATGTAGGAGAGTTGGTTATAGGACCAACTGTTGTAATTTACCATTTTCATCATTGGTCATAGTCCTTTTGAATCCGTTTTGAAGCACAAATTAAACTGCCAGTCAGAAATTAAATGTTATTTAAGAAAAAAATTATTTTGAAATATAGCTTCACATCAATTGGCAAAGATAGTACAGAGAAGTGATGTGTACTCTTCACCTAGTTTCTACCAATGGTTACATCTTATAAAATTACAGTACAATATCAAAACCAGGAAACGATGTGTCTATGTAGTTGTATGACACGTTTAGGGTCCGTAACCCCCACCACAATCAAGAAAGAGAACGACTTCACTACCACAACAATCCTCCTCATTGGTACCCTTTACAGTTATACATAGCAACCACTAATTTGTTTTCTATCTCAATTTCCTCAATTCCTCAGGTTCCTAGATGGTCTGTCTTCCCTACATTTTTTCATTCTTATGTTTATTTTATATATAAAGTGCCTTTTAAAATGTACTTATCAGGAAGAATATATTAAAGACATGTACTTCATCTCTCCGGAGCAGAAGCTGGCAATATGATGGTGAATACAGTGTCCCTTTATTCTTGAGTGATTCCAGTTGCCTCTGGTAAATAGGAAGTTTCCTATTCAACCTCACCTTTCTTGCCAAGAACTGCATGACAGTTGAGCTGTCACATGTTATCACTGGATTTTTTTGAACAGGAAAAAAGTGAAACGACAACATTTTTAGAAGGAAGAATGCAAACTGTAAGAGAGCGATGCGAAAATCCTAGAGAGGAGTGGGACGGCATTCTTCATTAAGAGTAATTGGTAACATTAAGGAACAATTAAGTACATAAAGAAATCATGGCCTATCGGTAGCTTTAATTTTATTACTAAATAGCAACCAGTTCAATGAATATGCCACATTGTGGTTATCCATTCAGTGGCTGATGGACATTTGAGTTGTTTCCAGTTTTTGTCTACTGTATTAGTCCATTTTCACACTGCTGATGAAGACATATCTGAGACTGGGTAATTCATAAAGAAAAAAGGTTTAATGGATTCACATTTCCATGTGGCTGAGGAGGCCTCACAATCATGGCAGAAGGCGAAAAGCATATTTTACGTGGCAGCAAACAAGACAGAATGACTATCAAGCAAAAGGGGTTCCCCCTTATAAAACCATCAGACCTTGTGAGATTGATTCTCAACCACGAGAACAGTATGGGGGAACCGCCCCCATGATTCAGTTATCTCCCACTGGGTCCCTCCCACAACACCTAGGAATTACGAGAGCTACAATTCAAGATGAGATCTGAGTGGGGACACAGCCAAACCATATCATCTACTATGAATAATGTTGCTATGAATATATATATATATATATAAATTTTTTTTTACATTTTTTACATTTTTGCATTTACTTTTTTTTTTTTACATTTTTTTTTACATTTTACAACAGGCAGAGTCTCGCTCTGTTGCCCAGGCCAAGATTCAATGCAATCTCAGCTCACTGCAACCTCCACCTCCCAGGTTCAAGCGATTCTCCTGCCTGAGCTACCCGAGTAGCTGGGATTCCTGGCGTGCACCACCACGTCCAGCTAATTTTTGTATTTTTAGTGGACACGGGGTTTCGCCATGTTGGCCAGGCTGGTCTCGAACTCCTGACCTCAAATAATCCACCCACCTCGCCCTCTCAAACTGGCGGCATTACAGGTGTGAGCCACTGTGCCCAGCCGCTAGGAACATTTAAGTCTTAGAGTGGACATATATTTTTTGGAGTGGAATTGCTGGTTTATATGGTAAGTACATGCTTTTACTTTTTAAGAAACTGCCAAACTATTCTCCAAGGTGGTGGCACCATTTACATTCCCACCAACAAAGTATGACAATTAGGATTATTACAATTAGGACAATTCCAGTTTCTTCCAATCTATAAACATAGTGTGTCTCTCAATTTATTTGAGTCTTCTTTATTTTCTAATAGCTATGTTTTATAGTGTTCCATGAACAGGTCCTGCACACCTTTCGTAAGATCTACATTTAAGTATTTTATTTTTTAATGCTATTGTGAATGAAATTCTTTTCTTAATTTGATAATCAGATCGTTACTACTACATAAAAAAGAATTGATTTTTGTATATTAACCTTGTATCCTGTTAACTTGCTAAAATTCACTTATTAGTTGGTGTCTTTTAGATTTCTAGATTTCTTAGAAGATCTCCATATAGGATCATGTTATCCATACACAATAATGTATGGAGAGACAGTCCACTTTAAGCAGCTTGCACTCCTACATGTTTTGTTGGGTCTGCTAAGACTACAAAGGCCTAAAAACTCTTTTATGGACCCTTTTTTCATGGTTGTTTATGCAGCTGGTTAACCTTGAGAGGTGAGGTTACATTTTCTTCCACACAAAGAGCTTTCTCACTTACTACTTGCTATAACTGCAGTAGATTCCCCAAGCTCATTATTTCTCAGCTGCAATACAAGTCTGCTATGAGTGTAATATTCATACGTGCCCTATTGCATTGCCCCTGTGGGCCTCAGGGGCAAAGGAGACAGATACAAATATGCTGAAACTCATGTTGTTGTTTGTGGTGCCATGAGTAATATAGCTCACAGGTGTTGTCATTCTTTAATTTTAGCCATCCTAGAGAACATATTATCTCTCTATGATATTAACTTATATTTCTCCAATGGTTAATGATTTTAATACCAAATGTTGACCAGGATAAGAAGCAACTGGAATTGACACACATTGCCAATGAGAGTATAACATGTTCAAGGGCTTTTGAAAATAGTTTGACAGTTTCTTTAGAGTTTCACATACTGAAATTCCACTCCCAAAAGTGATGTAAAAGAATGTTTGTAGAAATTTATTCATAATAGATCCATACTGGAAACAAGCCACAAGTGTCCATTTTAAAAAGAATGGATAAACAAACAGCACAATTGAAATCTACTCAGCAATAGAAGGAAATGTGCCACAAATCCACGCAACAACGTGGATGGATCTCAGAAACCTTATGCTCACTAAAGGGAGCTGGATACAAAAGCTTCTGTATGATTTTGGTACTGTATGACTTTTTGTAAGTTCAAAAGCACAAGCCAACCTAAATAATATGACAGAAAGTAGAACAGTGATAGGTAGGAGGTGCCTAGATAATCAATAAAAAGTATTAACAAATGGTAAGGGGGTGATGAAATGATCTGTAACTTGATCTGGGCTCTGGTAATACAGGCATATACATCTGTAAATATTAACCAAATGGCACACTTTATGCATTTAATTGTATTTTAAGTTATGCCTCGATTTCAAAAATTTTAAAAATAATTTTTAAAGTGACCCAAGAGAATCAGACCAGCCAAATATTTGTTCTCATGTCTAATCTATATTAACATCCTTATGAATATTTTGTTTGTTTGAATGCCACTTCCTGTCATAGTACTAACAACCTATTTTAGATGAATTTTAATTAAAGTTACATATGCTGCTGAAGCATACTCTTTGCGTAAGTAAATAAGATTAATTTCTTTAAAATCTACATATTTCTTCAACCGAAACACATTTTGCTATAGATAACTTGATGCTATTTTGTTTGGCCTGTAGTCAGCTAAATCATTCAACATTTGTAACATATTCACATTGTCATATGCTACAAATCTGAGGAAAAAAAGCATAAAAATAGAATGCCATTGGACTTACTAGTTCTAAGAACTATTAAAAGGCACAGATAAAAAATTTAGTAAACAATATCCTCAGGCAAAATATTTTCTGTTGTATTAATGTTCTACTTTTCAGGTCCTTTGTTGTATATGTAAATTGGCACATCTAACACCTAGGCACATTGGGAAGCTTAGTGTAGCTTCTGACCTATAAGCTAAGGAGGGGAATACGCAAGAATTTTGATTTTATGAAAAATGAGGACCAGGCGTGGTGGCTCACACCTGTAATCCCAGCACTTTGGAAGGCCAAGGCGGGCGAATCCCCTGAGGCCAGGAGTTGGAGACCAGCCTGGTAAACGTGGTGAAACCCCATTTGTACCAGAAGATATAAAAATCAGCCGGGCCTGGTGGTGGGTGCTTGTAATCTCAGCTACTTGGGACAAGGGTAATCCCAGCTATTCAGGGAAAGGGAAAGGGAAAAAGGGTGAAAGGGGGAAAGGAGAAAGAAGGGGAAAGAAGGGGAAAAGGGAGGGGAGGGGAGGGGAGAAGAAAAATGTAGGGGAATTTAATTCTTATTAGATTAGTTATCTTAAATATTTGCTACATTTACATTATTCTATCAGAGATTGATACTCTTTATATTTTTAAATTATTGCATACATTTTTATCAATTTCTTTCCTCTAGATTCCTCATACAAAACAACGAAATCTCACATCCTATTCTGTTTTGGGATATTGCACTGTGCAGAATAGTGGAAATTCCAAGTAGTTAAAGATCGCATACTATAACAAACCATTTGTGGGTCATTTCCCCAATGTAAGAATTTTGCTTTTATTTATTAATATGATTTTAAACTATGGTGCTAAGTTTTCATTAGGAGTTATACTTTCTAATGTGGGAAATAAATATCTTGATATTGAAAAGCCCTTACAAATATCCTGAGCTATTCATTTTGTATTAAAAATATTCAGTAATTATTTTCTCTGCCTCTTAATCACTGAACCTAGTCAGTGTGCCAAGAAAGCATGATCACATGGAAGGACATCTGAATAGTGGAGAAATTCGAGGAGTGGAGGGAAAAGATCCAGTATGTTTCCATTTGCTCTGTGTTTGCAGTTTAGCACACAGGTTTCTAAATTATCCTTGTCTGCGAAATTCATTCCCATACACCAACGTTAATTTCCATTCAAACCCACGGGCTTGCTCCCTGATTGTACTCTGCACGTGAGAGTTCATGGTTTTCAATATATAAAGCCCGTTTGAATCATTAACGCTTCTGGCTGAGAATGAGAGTTAACGCAAGCACTTTCTAAAAACAGAAAAAGAGGGCAAAATACATATACGCTTTTGCCTAGCCAGTTTCAATTTGCTTCTAGCAAAATTATCCATTTCATCCCTACTCCTGCACTTCTATTTCACATTAACGAAGGAGAATATGTACTTATTAAAATGGAAAGTTGTCTCACATAAAATGCTACTGAGCCAATCCAATGAATGTTCGCAATTAAAGGTATAATAATCATAAAAAGAAGAAAACTTGATAAGCAAAAGAATAATCAAGTACTAGCATGAGTTACTAAGTGTTTTATTTCTTAAGCT